>NC_000001.11:240123515-240275030 GCF_000001405.40 Homo sapiens
AAAAAAAGAAAGAAAAAAAACTAGCGTATTAAGTACATTTGCCAAACCTCCTTTTCTTGACAGATGGTCACTCAAGAGTTCTCTAGCCTGCTTTAATCAACGATGATTTTAAAAATTGATTTCTAAATTATTTTTAATTGTGGTAAAATACAGACAACATAAAATTTACCTCTGTAACCATTTTTAAATGTACCGTTTAGTGGCATCAAATACATTGACGTGGTTGTGCATCCACCACCACCATCCATCTTTAGAACTCTTTTTTATCATCCAAAATAAACCCTGTACCCATTAAACAATAACTCCCCATCCTCCTCTTTCCCCAAGCCCCTGGCAACAACCATTCTCTTTCTGTCTCTATGAATCTGACTATGCTAGGTAGCTCATATAAGTGGAATTATACAGTATTTGTCCTGTTTGTGGCTGACTTATTTCACTTAGCATGATGTCCTTGAGATTCATCCATGTTGGAGCATGTGTCAGAATGTCCTTCCCTTTTAAGGCTGAATCATATTCCATTGTATGTATATGTTGCATTTTGTTTATACGTTCATCCATCAATGGACATGTGGGTTGTTTCCACCTTTTGCTGTAATGCTGCTATGAATATGGGTTCATAATGAGTGAATAATGCCGCTATGAACATGAGGTACAAATACCTCTTCAAGACCCTGTAATCAGCGATGATTCTAAAGTGGCTGTAAGTCCATATGTATGACTTGGCTGGTCGTAGGCATTCCTTCAGAAGCAGCTCCACGGGGCACAGTTATTCTTCCCAGTGGGCCGGAGGTTTCCATGGGCCCTACGATGCTATTTTGTGCGTTCCTAACTCATGTTTGTGTGAAGTACGGACGTGAAGCAGCATTGTCTGCTTCATCCCCAGCTCCCATTCACCAAGAGAGTTAATACTGTACAACAGTAATTCACCAGGCATATTCACAATTCATAATGAATATGAACACAGCTGGATTCTCATTGTCAAGGCAGAGTATTGCCAGTCGTTCTCAGGTATGTGGTATGTGTGTGGCATTGGTTGGGATGAGTACGCCTCTAAAACCCAGATGTGTAAGAATTCTCGTGGATGAAATTCTCATAACAAAATTGAAGGTTGGCTCACTTGTGCAGAGCCCAGGATTTTTAGTTGAGGATAATGATTTTTCTTTTTTTTTTGAGACGTAGTCTCACTCTGTTCCCCAGGCTGGAGTGCAGTGGCACTATCTTGACACACTGCAACCTCCACCTCCCGAGTTCAAGCGATTCTCCTGCCTCAGCCTCTTGAGTAACTGGGATTACAGGTGCGCACCACTATGCCTGGCTAATTTTTGTATTTTTAGTAGAGACGGGGTTTCACCATGTTGTTCAGGCTGTTCTTGAACTCCTGACCTCGTGATCCACCCGCCCCGGCCTCCCAAAGTGCTGGGATTACAGGCGTGAGCCACTGCGCCTGGCCGTGGTTTTTCATCATATGGGTTAGTTACTTTGTTTTGTTGCTGCCAACAGTGCTCTCTTATCAGCCTTCTTCAATATATAGGAATAAAATAATGATGAGCTTTAAAGACAATGACAAAGCCCCAGCTGAGGTCAAGATACGATAATAAATAATAAAGTGTCTATATCTGCCTGTTCACTTTGCTTCCTCTTCTTTACCCATTACAGCCTGCAGTCTTCCTCAATCTTCCTTTAGTATTAAGAAAATAAATCACATAAAATATTCAGAGAGCTTCTTGATTCTTGATGCTTCCCATTTGAAAGAAAATTCCCCATGTTGTGCTGTGACTTGTGAAGTTTCCTTCCTGAGATTTGTTTACATTTTTCCTGCTGCAATTTTTTAAAATGACATTGCAGCTAATCGCTGCTAGGTAGATCTCTTTCTCTTATGGGAAAAAATATATAACTTAAATGTTTTCCTCCCTTCTCTTGTATGACAGGTCTGTGTTATTGTAGAGGCAGAACGCTAGAATGATGGTGTGTTAAATGTTATAGAGCTCAGTTCTAGAAGATATATTGATTTGGCAAGTTGGAACTATAATTAGTATAGTGCAGGCAAAGGCAAACACTAGCCATGTCTAGCACTTGCTTTTTGATTCAAACTGTTCCCAAGTTAACGGCATTTTCCTCCTTTAAAGCCCAGAAGTGAACAGTCTTGCCAGTCGATAAATGTAGAATTGGATAAACAGAAAAGAATAGGGTAATCCTATTTCTTTCTCTCTCTCTTTTTTAAAATCAACTAACCTGGTTGTTTCTTATACTCACCTCACTCCATCCTTGTGTTAGAGACTAGTAACTCTTCCCCATCATCTTATTTTGGAGGGCAGCTGGGTGTGGCATCGAGCGTGAAAAACAAACAACAAAGGTATAAAATCCCTTAATGTTGTGTGAAGGCATTTCCTCAGAATTGGGAATTTCTTTCCTTCAACTTGATGTGATTGCATTTTGTCTTCCTTTATTCATTGGCTCTGTACGACCTCTCTACTCCCCCATCAAAGTGAACATAAAACAAAGAAGAAAATTAAAGATACTCTTGTATGAAATGTTATGCCCTATACTTAAATAGCAGCTCAGTAACAGAACTATGCGTTCATTGGATGCGCAGTCAAGGAGTTTCTTGAAAACTGGAGAGGGCGACGATATAATGATACAGGGGGTTCTGAGGACTGGGGTGTCAATGAGGGATGAGGAAGAATGTGCTTATCTATGGGGAGAGAAATTTTCGATAATTAGTATCTCTGCTGATTTCCAGAAAATGGCTGTTGGGGACATTTCTAACTAACAATCCTCTTGAGGTCAGTTGCCCTTCGAGACAGAACATGCTGTGGGAATAATGTCATAACTGGTACCCTTCCTACCTACCCCCCCCCACTTTGTTCCCTTCCCTGATGGGTTCCTCTCCCCCACCTCCTTATCCTCTCCGTTCTCATCTTTGCACTTATGTATGCAATTACAGCAATAAAGATCTTCAGTTTGGGGCTCTTCACTGATGTAGTTTATGTATTAGCCTACTTGACTCAACCCTTCTGATTTTGTTTTATGTTATTTTATACAATTTTAGGGCCTAACATTTTGCTTTATCGAGTGTTATAGAAAGTATGAAAAGACTTCACATTTTCTCTTACATTTTAATATGATTAAGATGTCAAGAACTTTAAAAGACAAAGATGGCTTTGAGGGATGCTGTTAATTCATTCACAGATTTTTACCAAATATATTCATTCTAGAAGCCAGGCAGTGTTTTAGGCTCTGGAGATGTGTTAGTGAGCAAGAGAATGTGTTCTGTTGAAATGTGTTTCCTATTCAAAATGGAGAGAGACAGATTTTTTTTCAGAATGCATAGGCTAATTAATTGCTCTCAGATTCTAATAAGTGATATGAAGGAACACAGGACCAACAGGATGGAGTGAATGGCGTGGGGGTAGGATGAGCGCAGAGGGGAGCCTGTGAGATGAGGTCTGTGGGAAGGCCATTCCAGGCAGCTCCCAGGGCAAGTCCAAAGGGCCTTGGAGGAGCACAGACATGACTCAGAGGAAGCTGGGGCTTCAGGAGATGAGGACAGCAAGGGCTCAGGCCACAGCACAGGCAGGGTCTGGAAAGCCGTGGAAGGAATATGGCTTTTTTTTTTTTTTTTGAAACGGAGTCTCGCTCTATTGCCTAGGCTGGAGCAAGATCAGAGGCATGATCTTGGCTCACTGCATCCTCCGCCTCCTGGGTTCAAGCAATTTCTAGCTAATTTTTGTATTTTTAATAGAGACAGGGTTTCGCCATGTTGGCCAGGCTGGTCTTGAACTCCTGACCTCCAGTGATCTGCCACGTCGGCCTCTCAAAGTGCTAGGATTACAGGCATGAGCCACCATACCTGGCTTTTTTTTTTTTTTAAATGGGAGCTTTTGGGAGGTTTTATGCAGGGGAAGAACATATTTGTCTTATATTTCATGTGGATCACCTGGCCTGGTCTTGGTTTGCTTGTTGTGGTGGTGGTTGTTTTTGAGACAGGGTCTTGCTCTGTTGCCCAGGTTGGAGAGCAGTAGCACAATCATGGCTCACCGCAGTCTCGATCTCCTGGGCTCAAGCGATCCTTCCACCTCACCCTTCCAAGTAGCTGGAACTATAGGCATGAGCCACCATGCCCAGCTAATTTTTTAAGTTGTTGTTATAGACAGGGTCTCACTGTGATGTCCCAAGTTGGTCTTGAACTCCTGGGGTCAAGCAGTCCTCCTGCCTTGGCCTCCCAAAATGCTGGGATTATAGACATAAGCCACCATGCCCGGCCCCCAGCCTGCTCTTTGAATGATTGAGTGTAGGCAGGCACAGAAGTAGAAGCAGGAAGGCAGGTGGGATATGGCAGTAGTTTAGTTCTAGATGGTGGCTGTAGGTTGGGGCAGGACGGTGACAGGGGAGATGAAGACCAGTTAGTAGGTTGGGGTGGATTCTGGAGGTATGGCTGATGGGACTTCTGGTGGGGCAGACATGGCGACAAGAGAACACAAGGAAATCAAGGATGACTTCTTGGTTTGAAGCAGCTGGGTAGATGGTTGTGCCATTCACTGAGGTAGAGAAGACAGCTGCATTTTGGGAGGAGGATATAAGGATAGAACTGCTAGCAAGAGAAAACAGGGATCATACTAATGCTTGCTACTTGGCAGATTATATTGTTGACTTGTAGATCATGGTATATTTCAGTGGTCTGAAGCTAGGCTTCTTTGTGTATTTGGAACCTACTCTAGTCATTTCTCTCATGCCTTTTTCCAAATGAGATCCCTTTTTTTGGGTCATATGCATATTTTCCAGCCAACCACACTTATCTTACATAATTGTTGATTATTCATTAACAAGCTCTTCTAGGATTTCTTTAATCCTAACTGTGGCATATATTATATGATCTACTTACATCACCAAGAGTTAAGCAAGTTTACTTGACCCAACCATTTTTGCAGGGGTAGGTGATTCTAAATCTACTTAATCCTTCATGAGCTTATCTTTAAATGTCTGCCTAGCAGGATATTTTTGGATGCATGTTTTTGGTTGCTGGACTTGTTTGGGTTTGGCAGATCTGCTGATTTTGCTAAACATGTGGTGATCCCTTGCTCACCAGATGGGCAAGAGCTCCTTGATATGTATGTAAATGGACATCGGTTTGGATGAATATGTGAGCGAAGCTAAAATTAAAGACAAGGAAGACATAACAATTCAGGTTAAAAAGAAACCCAAGAAATAAGATCTTGAACCTGTTGAAAGATGAAGCTGTTAATCAAAACCAACAGCAGCCAGTCCCGGAAAACTAATGAAATATGCTCTACTCATTGTTACCGTAGACAAAAAGAAGACTTAAGTGGACAAACAGAAATTATTATGTGCATTTGAATTCATTTTTTTTTCTTTTTTGAGACAGAATCTCATTATGCTGCCCAGGATGGAGTGCAGTGGCGCGATCTTGGCTTACTGCAACCTCCGCCTCTTGGGTTCAAGGGATTCACCTGCCTCAGCCTCCTAAGTAGCTGGGATTATAGGCAGGCACCACGACGCCGAGCTAATTTTTGTATTTTTAGTAGTGACGAGGTTTTACCATGTTGGCCACCCTGGTCTTGAACTCCTGACCTCAGGTGATCCACCTGCTTTGGCCTCCCAAAGTGCTGGGATTATAGGTGTGAGCCACCTAGCCCAGCCTTGAATTCATTTTTTTTTCCAGAGCAGGAAAAACATTTTAATGCTATTTAGTCAAGCCCACACAGATCTTTTCCTGAGAAGCAACAAAAGCCTTGCCACATCTTTCAGCTCTAAGAGAATATAGATATACGTATATATTTTTTGCTGTATATTTATTTTTGAAACGTTGTGTACAGTATCAACTTTCAAAGTTGTTTTTATTTTAAAGATGGTATTAAGATGATACTTAATTTTTTCAGACCAACTTTAACAATTATTTTAGCTGATGATTTTGTTTACCAAAATTTATATAAGCTATGTGGACTTGCTGTATGTTAATGCCTGCTGATGCCTTTTTTTTTTTTTTTTTTTGAGATGGAGTCTCTGTCACCCAGGCTGGAGTACAGTGGCGTGATCTCAACTCACTGCAACCTCCGCCTCCCAGGTTCATGCGATTCTCCTGCCTCAGCCTCCTGAGTAGCTGGGACTATAGGCACATACCACCATGGCCAGCTAATTTTTGTATTTTTAGTAGAGATGGGGTTTGGCCATGTTGCCCAAGCTGGTCTCGAACTCCTGACCTCAAGTGATCCACCCCCTCAGCCTCCCAAAGTGCTGGAATTACAGGCATGAGCCATCACGCCCAGCCACCATTATTGACATTGCTCTTGCCTTCTGGCGGTCATGCATGAGGATTTAGCTCCTTTATACTCCTTCCTTGTCTCTCCTTCTTCCTTCTAATATAATTAATATTGCTATTTTGAGTTTTCTTTCATAATACTTCTTTGAATTTTAAATAATATGCTTATGATTTTTTGATATTGTTTCATCAAATTCAGATCGTATCTCTTGCCACCCCACTCACCGTGTAATAGTTACACTATTAGTGTCTCTACTTTTGCCTTCATTTAGTCTGAGCCCTGTTTACCTCCCAGCTTCTACCAGATACACTTTTATGTTTAGGGCATACTTTTAAGGTTAATAGTTTATCTATAAGTTGAAAGACATATGGATGCTGTGTGAATATTGCACTGCAGAGGCAGATATATTCTGATTTTGCTTCCTTTTCAGTATTCCAATATCACAACCCCCAGGCCACTCAAACAAGGATTTTCCTGGGTCAAGTTCAAAAGAATTTTGTGGTTTTATTTATTTATTTATTTATTTTGAGACAGAGTCTCACTCAGTCACCCAGGCTGGAGGGCAATGGCATAATCTCAGCTCACTGCAAACTTTGCCTCCTGGTTTCAGGCTATTCTCCTGCCTCACCCTACTGAGTAGCTGGGATTACAGGTGGATGCTACCACGCCCGGCTAATTTTTTGTATTTTTAGTAGAAACAGGGTTTCACTGTGTTGGCCAGGCTGGTCTCTTACTCGTGACCTCAAGAGATCCACCTGCCTCAGCCTTCCAAAATGCTGGGATTACAGGCGTGAGCCACCACGCCCAGCTGAATTCTGTGTTTTTAGTAAACAATCACTTGCTCAAAAGTATCCCATATTTAGTTTAGTTTACATTTGGCTTATCCTTTTCTTATACAGGGAACTCCCATCCAGCACAACAAAGTTTTCGACTGCCTCTTATTTTCTTTTTTGGGTGAAGAAACATAGCTTTTCCCCCTGTATTCTCAATATTTTTTATTTTTCAGCTCATTCTTGCCATTTCATGGAATTCTTAAATTCTTTCTCTTCTAATTTAGGTCAGGTTCTTCGTATTTAATTATGACTTCCGCTTGTACTTCTCAGCTCCCTCTTTCCCTTACAACACCTGTCCCCCAAGCCCCTGCCCTGTTATTAGGAACACAAAGATGAAAAGAAAGGTTCTATCCTGAACTGGCTTACGATTCACTTTAAAGAAATAAACACATGGAAGTAAATTATTGGAGCTTAGTGGTTGAAGTGGGCTCCACAGTCAAAGTGTCCAGGATTTCTCAACTATGCTGCAAGCTTAGGTAAATGGCTGGATTTCTGAAAGTTTATTTCTTCTTGGGTAAAATGAGGAATAAATATAGTAGTTTCTGAGTGAGAGGAAAGTATGGATACGAATAAAGCATTTTGCACACTACAGGCATATAGTAAGTGTTCAATGCCCTTTGCCTGTTACCATGGGTCACAATCGTGTTTAGGCTCCAAGTGGAGATATTTATAGTACAAGGAGCAAAGGGGAAGGTTTTTAACTGGGTCTCCTTGATAACTCAGGAGATAACACCTGGGGCAAGACCTGAGGCATGCGTAGGAGTTTGCTGTGGGGAACAGCCATGAAAGAAGTCTATAGGTCGGGTGCGGTGGCTCACACGCCTGTAATCCCAGCACTTTGGGAGGCTGAGGTGGGCAGATCACCTGAGGTCAGGAGTTCGAGACTAGCCTGACCAACATGGTGAAACCCCCGCCTCTACTAAAAATACAAAATTAGCCAGGTGTCTTGACACATGGCTGTAATCCCAGCTACTCAGGAGACTGAGGCATGAGAATCGCTTGAACCCAGGAGGCGGAGGTTGCAGTGAGCCAAGATCGCACTATTGCACTCCAGCCTGGGCAGCAGAGCGAGACTCTGTCTCAAAAAGAAAAAAAAAAAGTCTGTATACTGGGCAGCACATAGAAAGGCACAGGGGTGCATGTGAGCACAGTTTCTAAGTATTTCCGGAGTATAAATTGGGAGAATGATGCGTAGAAAGGAGACCAGGGATGTAAACAAAGACAACCTGGGGGTGCTTTTGAATAATTTTGAGTAGTTAAGCCATAAACAGATTGGCATTTGTAAAATATCACTGTGGTGGCAGATTGGAGAATGGATTGAAGAAAACTAAAATTAGCATCTGAGTGATCAGAAGAGTGTCTGAACTGAAACAGAGGCAGTGGGATTGGAAAGAGCCAGCTATAGGGAATCTTTAGGATTTAGAACCGACAGGACTTGCCATTTGATTGGATGTGAGGAAGTGGAGTAGATGATTTCTTTGAGTTTCTGGTTCACATTTCTGGGATACTGTACTAAAGAGTTAGAATACTAAAGACGGAACAGATTTCAGAGAGAATGATCATTCTCTTTTGACATCTAGAATTTGTGATTATTTGGGACTTTATGGAGGCTATACCTCAAGGGCAAGGGAACTGATATTGCTGGCATAGACCATAGGTTGTATGGTAAAATCATGAGCAAATAAATCTCGTAAATTAAGAGAAAGTTGACCAATCAAAAGATTAAAGTTCTTAAGGACAGTGGAGAATAATTAGATGTAGTGAGAATATAGAGAGAATGAATTCATTGGTGGTTGTGGCCAGAGGGAAGGATATTGGTGTTTAAGACTTCAGAGGTGGAGGTGTTCTACTCATTCCAAAGACCAGTCCATGGTGGAGAGGTAGGCTCGTTGTGATTAGAATTGAGAAGCTCAGGGTGTTGGCTGGGACTTAATGTCCCATAGAATGTAGAAGAGTCAACCTTGAGAAGCAGAGAGAGGACCATGTGGTAAAGTCCTTGACATGTGAAGGCTATACCAAGGAGGTTTGTCAGGGTCTGTGATGAGGAGGGGTAGATGCTGATACCCCTGGGTGATACGGGCTTTGGAAGTGGAGTGGGTTACGCTCAGGATGGACGTGGAATACTCTCTAGATGATCATGGAGGGCTAGATTAGAGGGTCGCGGTATGAGGGAGGATTGGAAAAATCACCTTTCAGGTTCAGTCATCGTTTGGCTTGGATGATCACATTGGCCTTTTCATTACCTTCTTGGGTTTGCCTGTTACTGGTTTCCAGTCCAGTCTCCTCAGCCTTGTCTAGTGGTTCTCATTCCAGGGTTATGTTGCCCTGCAGAGGACATTTGACAATGTCCAAAGACATTTGGGGTTCTCACAGTAGGGAGAGGGGTGCAACTAGCTTCTAGTGGGTAGAGACTGGGGCACTGCCAAGCATTCTAAATGCACAGGACATCTCCTTCTTTCCCCTAACAAAGAATTACAAAATGTGCAAAATGTCAGTAGTGCCAAGGTTGAGAAATCTAGTGATATATGTCTGATCATGTTGTTTTATTTTATTTTTTGAGACAGCATCTTGCTCTGTCATCCAGGCTGGTGTGCAGTTGGGTGATCACAGCTCACTGCCTGCCTTAACCTCCTGGGCTCAACCGTTCCTCTCACCTCAGCCTCCCAAATAGCTGGGACTAAATGCAAATGCCACCATGACCAGCTAATTAAAAAAAATTTTTTTAATAGAGGTGGGGTCTCCTTATGTGGCCAAGGCTGGTCTTGATCTCCTGGGCTCAAGTGAGCCTACTGCCTTGGCCTCCCAAAGTGACGGGATTACAGGCATGAAACACCGCACCTGGCCATGTCATTTTAATTGTTTCTCTATCAGAATAAACTCCAGCTTCTTTGGATCTCCATGGTCTTCCTTCTGCCTTTCAATACTTTCCCACTTCTACCTCTCCTGACCCACTTTCCTTTCCAAACTCTTTTGCCACGCTGAAGTGTTATTGATTTTCCTAATTGTCCATGTCTTCTCTCACTTGTGGGGCTCTGTGGGCACCTCTACTTCTGCTCCCCACTATTATTTCCCAGTTAGCCTCCACTCTTTCTCATAGGATGCTATTCAGAGTTAGATGCCATTCCTTCCCAGACATCTTCTTTAGCCATCTCAGTCTGCATTTTCTCTCTCAAAGGATATATTACACATATTATAATTGCCTATTTACCCTGTAACACCTGAATGCAAATTAAATATTGTGTGAAGGTTCCTTGAACAATGTAATGCTGTGTCCTTGTGTTTACCTGACAGATCTCCCCAGAGTAGTTAGGAGTGGTCTCTAGTCCTAGACTGGATTCTAATCCCATCTTCTCCACCCACTTAAGAGGTGAAAACATTTACCCAAGGTCACATTAAAATTTTTCATGTCTAATAATCTCTGGAGTTGTTTTGAAGATTAAATGAGATTAATTTATTAGGCATTTAGCACAATGTCTAGCACATCATCAATGCTAGGTAATTATTAGTGATTGGTATTTAATATTATTGCCTTTCAAGTTCTTATTACAGAATCAGGCATAACTGTTTAATAAATATGCCTTGATTTTGTAAAGAAGAGAGCTGTAGGAAAGCCATGATGACTGCAGTGAGGAGGAACTGGAGAATCTATTCAGTGAATTGTCTTGAATGATCAAAGGTTGCCTATGTTTGATAATCTTGAAAACACTTGGACTGGGTGTGGTGGCTCACACCTGTAATCCCAGCACTTTGGGATTGGGAAGCTGAGGCAGGAGGATCGCTTGAGCCCAGGAGTATGAGACCAGCCTGGGCCATATAGGGAGACTCTGTCTTTACAAAAAATTTAAAAAATTAGCCAGGTGTGGTGGTGCACACCTGTAGTCCCAGCTATTGGAGAGGTGGGAGGATCACTTGAGCCTGGGAGGTTGAGGTTGCAATGAGCTGTGATTGCACCACTGCACTTCCACCTGGGCAATAGAGTGAGACCCTGTCCCACCAAAAAACAAACAAAAACAACAAATAAAGAGAGACAGAGAGAAAAAAGAAAACACTTGAAGAGGGAGAAGATGGGAGAAGGGATGGGATCTGGCTGTGTTCTGGAATTAATTTATTAGTCTGGGAGTTGACTCTGTATTGGATCTCTTCTTCTGGGCTTATTGCCATCCTCCTTTCTCAATCCATTTTACTTAATTTTACTGCTATAATTACCACATTCCTTCACCAACCCTCATGCCCCCACATCTTTCTGGATGGAGTGGAAGGGAAATGGAAAGAGTAGGGAAAGCTACGGGGAGGTAACTGCAAATTGTGAAGGGAAATCTGTCATGCCCACTTGGTGTTATGTTCATGACCATCCCGTAGTGACTCCATGCTTTCCCTAGGTCAGTCTGTGGAAGTATTGCACTTGAATATTGACATGCGTTGTGCTTATTTAGCTCTCTGTGTGTATGTGTGCAAGTGTCTGGCATACTTGACAGATAACGTGGCATGGAAGAATGAATCGTTTTGCTTTCCCTAGCACCTCACCAAAGAATAGGGACCTCCATTTCATCTAGAATTCCTAAGACAGGGAGGAACCAGAGAGGGCTGGAGATTGTTTTGCTACACAACATTGCTCTTCTCTTTCAAAGAGTTCATTTTATTTTCTTGATTGGATAATTTCTTGTGGGGTAAAATCATGGATGGGAACAGTCAATACATATAAATAGGAAGAAATCTGCTTACTGAGTTTTCTGTAAGGGATATTTTCCAATCCAATATTACTTTTTTCTTATGAAGTCAATTTATTTCATAAAGAATATAATAAGTGGATATGTATCCAGAAGTTCCTACTCGATTTCTTTCTTTGAAGGCTATGCACTTGTTATATGGTTTGAAAAAAATTGCCTCGTATGGGGAACTTTTCTTTACCACAATATTGATTGTATAGTGAGTTAAATTATGTCCCCTCTGTTTGTAGTCAGATAGTTCAGTGTGAAGTAGAAGGCTTTCAATATATATTTTAAAAATTGTTAATTCTCTGGAATCTATCATTTTCGAAAGGACTTTGTCATGTTTCTTTTTTTTTTTTTTTTGAGACAGAGTCTCACTCTGTCACCCAGTTGGAGTGCAGTGGTGCGATCTCGGCTCACTGCAGCCTCCGCCTCCTGGGTTCAAGCGATTCTCGTGTCTCAGCCTTCCGAGTAGCTGGGACTACAGGTACATGCCACCATGCACAGCTAATTTTTGTATTTTTAGTAGAGATGGGGTTTTACCATGTTGGCCAGAGGGCCTTGAACTCCTGACCTTAGGTGATCTGCCCACCCCGGCCTCCCAAAGTGCTGGGATTACAGGCATGAGCCACCATGCCTAGTCATGTTTTTTTTTTTTTAATCAATTTATAGTAATTTGTCCCCAGTTACTACTCAGTGAATGTTTGTATGACTGGATCTTGTAGTAATCAGTAACCAAGTTTTTATACATATGTGTTTAAGCATATGTATTTTTAAGCATAGTTGGAGATTATTATGTTTAAGCCTATTTTGAGATTATTTTATTTTTCTGATCCGGTACGTGATTTAATAAATTTCTAATATGTGTTGCCATTTATGTATCTTATTTCAGAGGGCAAAACGGGTGATGTTTTTCCCCCGTTATGCTCAATTCAAGTGCATCGTTGCAAAAGTAGTAATGATAGTTATTGTTATTCCCCCGATCATGAAGTTTTCTGAGCTCAGAGGAAGTGCTACCAGTCAGTAGTTTCATAGATTTTAGAATGCTTCCCAACAGTAAAGTTAATTGAAGCTTAGAAAAATAGATTTTTAAAAAACACACTCGTGGCAATCAGACTTTTTAAGACAATGACATACTTTCTTCATGATTGTTTTTTCCTCCTTTAAGAGGATTATGCTGTTTTAGATATCCATTTTGACTTTCACAACTGGTACTTTTTTTTAATCACCCATTTGGCAAACAGTGTTGGGTGACTCAGAATTCATTTTGAATTTGTATGATGGACTTTTATTAAAAGGGGTGACTCAGCTCGACTTTTCTGTCATGATTTTCTTTTCTTGTCTTTCTCCTGTAGATGCACTGAATATTAATTAGTTCTATTGATGTGACTTGTATTTCTTCTGACCTCCTTTTCCTTTTCTCAAGAGCCAGGAGGAGTATAAAATTGGGAATCTGGCCTGGTGCGGTGGCTCACACCTGTAATCCCAGCACTTTGGGAGGCCAAGGTGGGCGGAGCACAAGGTCAGGAGTTTGAGATCAGCCTGACCCACATGGTGAAACCCTGTCTCTACTACAAATACAAAAATTAGCTGGGCGTGGTGTGGGTGCCTCTAATCCCAGCTACTAGGGAGGCTGAGGGAAGAGAATCGCTTGAACCCAAGAGGCGGACATTGCAGTGAGCCGAGATCGCGCTACTGCACTCCAGCCTGGGTGACAGAGTGAAACTCCGTCTCAAAAAAAAAAAAAAAAAAAAAAAAATTGGGACTCTATGGCAAAGTGAAGGACCCTGTACAGAGAAAACATGACTTAATTCAGGAGCTTAAAGGGTTTTTTTGTTTCTTGTTTTTTGTTTTTTTTTAGGTCCTCCCAATTTGTACTGGACTTTGGAAATCTGAAAGAAGATTTATTCTCCTGTTATTACCTTTATTGTCTAGATCAGGGGTTGGCAAGTTTTTCTGTAAAGGGCCAGATAGAAAATATTTTAGGCTTTAGTAAATATTTTACAGTGCCTGTCACAACTACTCAAGTCCACTGTTGTGGTGTAAAAGCAGCCACGGACAATACGCCACTAATAAGCACGGCTGTGTTTCCTAATAAAACTTTGTATTACAAAACAGAGCACCTGGCCATATTTGGCTGGCAGGCTGTGGTTGGCTAGCCCCTGCTCTATACTCATGTAATACATAGATAGTAAATTTATTCTCTGAGCTTTTCTTTCTGTCTCTTACCATGTGTGCTCACCAGCCAGTCACACAATATTTATGGAATTTTTCTATGAAAAATATAGGGCCTTTTCTTGTTCTTGTGTAGCTTACTGTGGAAAGGGGCTACTGGGTGAACAGACACGGTGGTACAGTAGTTGATAAAGGGTGATAGAAGAGTTTTCAGGTTTTGAGTGGTCGAGGATGCCCGGAGCCTGGAGCCCAGTGTACAGGAGGAGGAACAGAAGAGGCGTCTTAACAAATGGTACTGTGGCCAGGGGCGGTAGCTCACACCTGTAATCCCAACACTTTGGGAGGCCAAGGGGCAGATCACTTGAGGTCAGAAGTTTGAGACCAGCCTGGCCAACATGGTGAAACCTTGTCTCTACTACAAATACAAAAATTAGCCGGGTGCAGTCGTGTGCGCTGAGGCAGGAGAATCCCTTGAATCCGGGAGGCAGAGGTTGCAGTGAGCTGAGATCACACCACTGCACTCCAGCCTGGGTGATAGAGCAAGACTCCATCTCAAAAAAAAAAAAAAAAAAAAAAGTAAAAAGAAAAGAGAAATGCTGCCTGGGACCCAGAGGCATTTGTGAAGGCTTCTGGAAGAAACGTTTAAGAAGTGAACCCTATTCTCAGGAGCAGTAGGAAGCCGGTGGAGGGTGTTAGGTGGAGGAGTATGACGTGGTCAGTCGCGTGTTTTAGAGAGAGCATTCTGGGTGTTAGAGGAGTAGGGACTGAGGGGTGTGCTGTGTTTGTGGTTAGGATGCTGGAAGACCCTGAGGAAACCGTTGCAGCAATCCAGGAGAGAACAGTGCCCTCAACTATGAAGGAGTTAGGTAGTAGAAAATCCTTTTATTTTTAAAAAGTATTACATGTGGGCCGAGCACGGTGGCTCATGGCTGTAATCCCAGCACTTTGGGAGGCTGAGGCGGGCGGATCACTTAAGGTCAGGAGTTCAAGACCAGCCTGGCCAAATTGGTGAAACCTCATCTCTACTAAAAAAAAAAAATACAAACATTAGTCAGGCATGGTGGTGCATGCCTGTAGTCCCAGCTACTTGGGAGGCTGAGGCAAGAGAATCGCTTGAACCAAGGAGCTGGCGGTTGCAGTGAGCCAAGATTATGTCACTGTACTCCAGCCTGGGCAACAGAGCGAGACTCTGTCTCAAAAAACAAAAAAAAATTGCATGTGGTCACACAATTTGTTTTTCCCCCTTTTAAAGGACTTCCAAGTATCCAGGGAGTTGCACTAGTACAAGAATTGGAGCTTTTCCTTTAACAAATCATACATCTTAATTTTCTTCTCATAATACCACAATAGTTAATTAATAAAATAATCTTACTTATATTTGGGAAAGAAATTTGGGATTAAATAAAAGGCAGATTCTAATTATACTTGGATTAATATTGTTACTCCTACTAATCTCAAACTCCAAGAGTCAGAATCCCCCGAAGGGCTTGTTACAACACAGATTGCTGGCCCCACCCCCAAGTTTCTGATTCAGCTGGTCTGAGTTGAGATCAGAGCATTTGCATTTCTAACAACTTCCCAGGTGATGCCAATGATGCCGGTCGGGGACCACACTTTAAGAAGTGCTGCCTTAGAGGGTAGACGTGAGAAGCCTTGGGGATTTGGTTGCTCATGTAAAGGTAAGGGAGTGGGCAGAGACAAGGAGAATGTCCAGGTTTCTGGTCTGAGCACTAGGGTAGATAGAGGGTGATGCAATTCACACTGTGTGTAAAATTCACAATGAGGAGCAGGTTGTGGGGATGATTGGTTCAATTAAAATCCTACTGAATTTGAGGATACCTCTTTAAATATATACAAAAAGGCCATTAGTTTTTTGTATCTGAGGTCAGGAGAGAGAGCCTAGGAGAAGAGAGATTGACGACTCTTCAGTGTGTAGATGATACTTGAAGCCATTATGCTCTGGAAAGTGCCAGTAGAATGGGAAGCAAGAAGAGACTGACGTATAGATAAATACTTACCCAATAAGGGGAAAAAAGCTACAAAGAGAATGATAAAGACAAAAAAACAAGATATTTTTTAAAAAGAAAGAAGGAGTGTTAAGTGATATTCAGTGTTGCCAAGAAATCAAGATAAAGACTGAAAGCTACTGATAATACCCTAGTAGAGAGGAATTCCAGTGGAGCGCTGAGAGCGCTGCCCAGATTTCAGCAGGCTGAGGTTTGGAGACGAGGGGTGTAGGGTGTGGTGGGAAGATGGGAGGTGAAGTCAGTCCACGTGTGTGATTAGCTCTGTGCACTTGGGCTTTTTGCTCAGGTAGATGTATCGGAAGGTTAGTGAGGGTGGGAATTGAAGGTATCAGCCTAAAGGGGTGGTTTAAAGAGTAGGCTACAAAGTCAGAAGACCAGAGAGGGTGAATGGTAGAAAGGAGGGGAGCCAAGATTCTCAAGGTCTGGAGGCTGAGGGGGTTCGGATAGGATGCCTACAGGTATTATTGGGTAGATAAATTGGTTTCAGTTGGTAAGCTGCTGGAGGGTGTGGCCTGGTGAGTGGTCTGCTGGCTAAGATTGCGTGAAGGTGAGTGCTTGCATTGGCTTACTCTCACTTTCTTTCTTCCTCTGGGTGTGAATGATTTGCTAATCATGGTTCCCATTCCAGTGTGTAACCAGTTTGCAGGTCATTGTCAGTTTTTTTTGTACTGGTGCTTTAAAAAACAAACAAACTGTTTTCAGTATTTAAAAACACATTAAGCTTTCTATGTACCAGGCTCTGTTTTAAGCACTTTACAATTATTAACTGTTTTAATCTTCATTACAAGCCTGGTGAGATAGTTTTTATTTTCCTTTTGCAGAATACACTGAAGCACAAGAAAATTACGTTCATTTTCTTCCTTGCTTTGAAGTTCCATTACCAACACAAAACCTTCAACTGCATTTTTGCATTTCTGGCTATCTCTGACCCTAACTTGCCACAACACAGATCCACGCAGGTTGGAACACAAAACTGTTTCCTCCTTTGGATATATAGTCTGTAAAATGACTGCTGGGGCCTGCTGTTTTCCTGAGAGTGACTTCTCTTTCTGTGCTTTGTAATTTTACTTCATGATATTTACAGGATTTTATATGTAGAACAGCTCATGTCCAGGTTAAATTCTGTGGGGGGTGGGTGGGAAGTCTCTTCCATTTTGCAGAAGTTTTCAAGGTATTTCCTGATTTGCCTATCAAACATAGCCTATCCCAGGATATGGGAAGAATTTTCCTCTTTTAATTATTTCAAGCCATGTGTCTGTACAGTGTACATACTTGACTAATTTGCTGTTTTATGAGGGAATAATAAAAACACCAAAACTGAAGAAGACAAGTATTTAATATAGCCCAGTTCTCTTAAATTGGCAAGTGAAGACATTTGAGCTGAAAAGGTGAAGTGACTTTTCTGTCCAAAATAGCTTTGACAGAGCCAGAATCTTAGTCTCCTGCTGTTCAGGGCAGTTTGCTTTTTCCCCATGCTGCACTGACTTCTATTAGAAAAGGAAAATTTCTTTCATTTACAACAGAGTCTAACTTTCCTCATACTATTGGTAGTTAATGGCCCTGTACATTTGTTAAATGTAGTTGGGTAACAAGTATTTCTTTAACAAACTAATTACCTGACTTCTGGGTCAGGTGAATGTGTTATGAAGAATCCTGGACATTTTTAGAGATCTTTGAAAAAGATGTCAGGGATACTTTTAAGAAAATACTAGGGATTCAAAGATGGAAGACAGCCTAAGACAAGAGTGAAGCTTAGCATGAGTAATCTGCATGAAAAATCTGCATGAAAAATAACAGGCAACGGTATTTTATTTATTTATTTATTTATTTTTGGGATGGAGTCTCACTCTGTCATCCAGTTTGGAGTGCAATGGCACGATCTCGGCTCACTGCAAACTCCTCCCCCTGCAAACTCTGCCCCCACGGTTCTAGTGATTCTCCTACCTCAGCCTCCCGAGTAGCTGGGATTACAGGTGCCCGCCACCACACACAGCTACTTTTTTTATATTTTTAGTAGAGATGGGGTTTCACCATGTTGGCCAGGATGGTCTTGAACTCCTGACCTCAGGTAATCTGCCCACCTTGACCTCCCGAAGTGCTGGGATTACAGGCGTGAGCCACCACGCCCAGCCATATACTTTAAACATCATGGTGAAATGAGAACTTTGAAAACAAGAATTTTAAGTGTCTCCTATGTTTGCATTTTGTGCAATGAAATGAAGGGGACAGGATAGTTGCTGAGACTGGATTTCACTATTTACTCTTAGGACAGGAGAGAATGTGTCTATGTGGCACGTTGGACAGGGCTCACATGGTGCTTCTGAGGGAAGTCCTCAGAAGTTGGGTGGTTGAGTTGGGACATTCGGCCTGGGGGAACCAGATGCTCAAAGCCAAATCTGAATTGGAACCACAATTTCTAAGGTAATTTAGACTTAGTTCCCATGATGCTATGTGTGAAAAACTTGGCAACACTGATTCATTCTGAAGTCGCTACATGAGAGGAGGACAGTTTTGATCACAGACTGATGGAATGCACTTTGGATGCAGATCAGAAATATATCAGAGTCTCCCTGTAGCTTTGAAGTTACAAGGGTGCTGCATTTAAGCCTGTAGGTAGGAGTACGGCGGCTTCATTGTCATCAGTGTTTTCTGATATTGAGCTTCTCATGGTCCCAGTTAGGCTATATTGAGGCTCCTGCTGACCCAGTCAGGAGCATGAAAAGAGGGTGTCTTTGAAAAAAATAAAGCTGCTAGTGCAAAGCCAAAATATAACTGAGATTAAAGACTGTAATGAACCGAGCTATTTTGAATCTGAAAGTTACCTCAGGTTTTGGTAAATATTAATTGTATTTTGATTATATTTACTGAAGATGGATGGACAAGAAGACTTCTGAGCCATGGTCCCAGGGTCATAGGACAAGTGGAGAAAACCTTTTCATATTTATTTATTTATTTATTTATATTTTTTGGGGGGGGATAAAGGTCTTTATTGAACAACCTTATCTCACTCAGTAACAAAAGAGCAGGAGGCAACAATTCCCCCGGAAGTCTGCAGCTGTGTCCACCCTTGGCAGCAGGATGCATGGCCCACTGATACATCAGCTGCAGTTCAGAGCCCCTGGTGGTCACTTAGAGATCATAATTGGGGTTCTTCCGAAGGATAACAAAACTTTCCAGAATGGGGGTAACAGGAAGAAACTCCTCAGTGGCCAATTCTGCCCGTTCCCCGTGGGCCAACGACACTGGGGTTGTATGTGTCTGGAACCCTGTGATGGTCTTAGGCTTGCCAGCCTGGCCCACCACATCCACTGCCTGGCCTACATGGACAGACACTGGCAATGGCCTCAGCTCCTCATCAAACGTAACCAGCATTCGGGGCCGCATGGCAGCCACCAGCCCATACAATACATAGTGTGATTTGCCTAGAATAATGTTTCGAACATCCAGGAAAGAGAGAGGCACGGTGAGCAGCCCAGCCATGGCCACTGGACTCATAAGCTGCCAGTCACTGTGGTAGGGGCAGAGGGTAAGTGTACCCTTCCCTAAATGTGTCAGGCCCTGTGCCAAGTGCACCATGAAGAGGTCGTTGGGGTCCTTGGCATGATATTGAGCTAACTGGCGCAACATTGCAGCCAGACGGGCATTATTGGTACCACTGCCCACCATGCCCATGGCAAAAATGGAGTTATAGGAAACTTCTGGATCAGCATCATGAGATAATTTGCTTAGGGTATCCAGGATGTTGATTTGAAACAGAGATGAGGGCCAGTGCTAAAGGTACAGCCCTCCGGAGTGCAGGCTCCCCATATCTCAGCAAGTGGCCAAAGGTTCATAGTGCCGTCTCTGCACCAATCTCCCCCACAGCAATAAGGGCAATCCCCAGAACAGCCACTCCCTGATGTGCTCCCATGTCAGCAGGGGTTTCCTTTTTGTCCTTGTCCTTCTTTTCCTTCTTGCCTTTGTCTTCCTCCTTCTCTTTGGAGTCAAAGTGTTCGCTGCAAACGTGGAGCAGCTGCTGCACCTTCAGCACATTCCCAGAGCCTGCCTATGCACACACATCTACCAGTGTGTTGGCAAAACTGCGGAATGGCTCTGATGCAACCTCCAGTGCAGCCAGGATTGCCTCGATGGCCTCACCCTTCCCCAGGTGATTGAGACCCAGTCCAAGAGGAAGCCAACGAGCATAAGAGTCCTTGAGCTCAGTACTTCTCCCTGATGGTCTGAAGGATAGTGGAAGTTACATCTCCATTGCAGGACCCCACTGCTATCATTCCACAGGCTAGAGCTGTCACACCTGCCACCTCCATGCTGGACTTTGAATCTCCCATCACAGGCAGCAGCAGTGTTAGGACATCTTCATGATTTGAGCCAGCGTAGGCCAAGCCTAGCCCAAAGATGGAACCAAGTCTCATGGTGTTGCTGTTGTGGAGAACATAGTCTGAAAGCAGTCCCAGAGCAGGGACACACTCATTCCAGACCCCAGAGTTCACTATGCCACAGGCAAGAAGAATTCCTGACTTAATGTAGTCCTCAAAGGAGTACAGGTTACTTCTCAATCTGAATGAGGCCACCATCCACATCCCACAGCAGCAGCATCCCAACAGATGCAGCTGCACTCAACATTCCGTGGTCCTTGTTCTTGTAAAGCCATTTGTTGCCATCATCGTTAGCAGCTTGTCTTAAACAAAAGCTGCATTCACAAAGCCACTCACAAAAGAGGAGGCCAGGTTCATGCGGGCAGAGTCCACCTGAGAGCCACTGCCCCCAAACCTGTTGTTCTCTAGGTGGGTTTTGTAGATGTCATCAGGCACCTTGGGCTCCATGATGTCCAGCTCCCGAGCTAAGGCCAAGAAGTTGCTGTTGAGCTGTACATTGGACATGATCTCTGTCAGGTGCTCATACTCCTTGACATCTTCACTCAGCTCCAGGAACACCCCATGCCAGCCTAGCATGAATGCCATCTGTTTCTGTACTACCACATCCTCGCAGGATGTGAAGATGTCTTCTACCAGCTCCATGTCATTGCGCATCAGTGCCAATCTCAGAGCTTTAGGAAAGCGGCTAAACTTTCAGAACACACCCAGGGCACAACGCAGTAGGACTGAGTTCTCAGGCTCAGACACATAATTCACACAACTGGTGAGATAAAGGCAGACCTTTGTGTATGCATTCTCATCAATGTCCTTCTCCAGCATGTCCACCTGCTCAATTTCCATAAGGTCACAGGCCTCATGCTCTGCGTCGTGGACCATGTTGTAGGGGACGATTTCCTTCACCAGAGTGAGCAGTGGCTCCTGCTGGACCTTCTTTGCATCATCCAGCTCCTGCCACTCCTTAGCCACTTCTCCTGCCAGGTGCCTGATATACTCATGACTCCATGATGCCAATTCCTTCTGGGAGCCTACTAGCCGATACTTGAGGCACTCGCACTCCCCACTCATGGTCATGGCCAAAACAGAGATGATGTCAGCAGCAAAATGCTCATTCTCCCCAGGGGCCATGTTCTCATACATTTCCTTCAGTTTGCCATAGTGTGGACGCAGACATTTGAGAGACTTGGTCACCAAAGTCATGGAAGTTGTAGAAGAACGAATCTGCCTTCGCATTTCCTCCAGCGCTGGTCGATACAGGGATGTGTCCTTCTCCCCGAGTCATTCCACAAGCATCTCCAGTTCATCTTGAAGCTGTTTATCTTCCTCAGACAGCTCCTGTTCTTTGTCCTTGTCCCCGGCATCCCGCCGCTCCTTGCCGCTTGGCTTCTCATCCATGCCGCTGAGGGCCGCCGCTGGGGGCTGCTGGGACTGCACCAGCGTCTTGTCCCATCCTCCCTCCTCCATCTCCGCTGCCACTGCCCTTTATTTTTTAATTTTCATGGATACATAGTAATATATATATGTATATATTATAGGGGAAAAACTTTTTCTTTAGTATTGTATTTGACATGCACTTAATGTTTTTACTACAATGAGGCAATTTTTCTTTTTCTTTTTCTATTTTTTTTTTTTTTTTTTTTTTTTTTTTTGAGACAGGGTCTTGCTCTGTGACCCAGGCTGGAGTACAATGGTGCAATTATATGACACTGCAGCTTCAGACTGTCGAGTAGCGAGGACCACAGGCACGTACCACCACACTCTGCTAATTTTTATATTTTTTGTAGAGACAGGTTCTGGCTATGTTGCACAGGCTGGTCTTGAACTCTTGGCCTCAAGTGATCCTCCTGCCTCAGCCTCCCAAAGTGCTGGAATCACAGGTATGAGTGAGGGTGCTGGGACAATGAGGCGATTTTCATATTCAAAATAGATGGCAGCCAAAGCCAGGCCAAGGGTCGAGGCAGAAATCTTGCATTATGTGTGTTAGAATGCTACAACATTTGACACAATAGCCTGCAGACAGGGGTGCTCAGGAGACAGGTTTTGAGCTTCATGCATCAATTAGCTGGTCTTTGAGGGTGACATCTGTTGGTACATATAATCACTCTTCTTCCCAGGTGTAGATTGTGTAACTGAAGGATAGGGTCTACATATGCCACGTTCAAAGTGATTTAAAAAAATAGTATGGCTGGGCTCAGTGGATCAGTGGATCACACCTGTAATCCCAGTACTTTGGGAGGCCAAGGTGGGCAGATCACGAGGTCAGGAGATCGAGACCATCCTGGCTAACATGGAGAAACCCCGTCTCTACTAAAAAAAAAAAAAAAATACAAAAAATTAGCCAGACTTGGTGGTATGTGCCTATAGTCCCAGTTACTTGGGAGGCTGAGGCAGGAGAATTGCTTGAACCCAGGAGGCGGAGGTTGCAGTGAGCTGAGATTGTGCCACTGCACTCCAGCCTGGGCGACAGAGCAAGACTCTGTCTCAAAAAAAAAAAAAAAAAAAAATAGTATGGCCAGGCACAGTGGCTCACACTTGTAATCCCAGCACTTTGGGAGGCCAAGGCGGGCAGATCACTTGAGGTCAGGAGTTCAAGACCAGGCTGGCCAACATGGTGAAACCCCATCTCTACTAAAAATACAAAAAATTAGCCGGGCGTGGTGGCATGCAACTCTAGTCCCAGTTACTTGAGAGGCTGAGATGGGAGAATTGCTTGAACCCAGGAGGTGGATGTTGCAGTGAGCTGAGACTTTGTCTCAATAAATAAATAAATGAATAAATAATAAAAATTTAAAAAATAGTATATAGTGAAGAGTAGAGTGCCTGATTTACTATTTAGTAATAAAACATTCACTTTCCTTATAGACTGTTTTGAATTTATTTAGGAACTTGCCCCCAAATAAGTGAACACCAATCTAGTATCATTATTGTACCATTTCACTTGACAGTTGTTACAGAGTCTGTTCTTTAAAGTGGAATCTTGATAGAATGGGAATTTCAGACTCATTTTGGAGATAAGCTGTAAAGAACTAATGGTGGATGATGTTCTCCTCAGGGTAAGGTGGAAGACGGGGCAATTAGACCCCGTGGTGAATGCAGATTAATGAATCTAAGTGAGTCTATTTGGTTTTTTCAGTTTAGTTGGCCGGAGTGGAGGAGCAAGTCATAGAAAATTGGGGCTTTTTTTTCTTGTTTCTTCATGCCATGCCATTCAGTACTGACTGAGGGTCAAGCACTGTGCTAAGTACTTAACATGATCTCTTCAATTAGTTGGTCTTAACTTAAATAACTCAGTTAATCTGACTTCCATTTTCTGATGTGAAAACTGAGACTTAGGGTAATTTGCCCAGAGTCAGTTGTTTTGTAAGCGGCAGAAGATGGAATTCCAACCCACGAAGGCTGACTCTACATCTTGTGCCCTTTCTCCACCCTCCATAGCCAATCTGTTGGCCTTTTTTCTCTTTCTGTTGCCATCACTCTGGTCTAAGCCGCCTTAGTGTTGAGGCTGGTCTCAAGTGGTAGTCCCCTAATTAGTCTCCATGGGTCCACTCTGCTCTCTTTAGTTCCTTCTCCACAAAAGAGTGATTTTTTTTTTCTTTTTAAAAGATAGGATTTCTCTCTGTCACCCAGGCTGGAGTGCAATGGAACAATCATAGCTCACTGCAGCCTGGAATCCCTGCACTCAAGTGATCCTCCCACCTGGGCCCCCCAAAGTGCTAGGAATACAGGTGTGAGCCATTGCACCTGGCCTTGATTTTTAAAAACCAAGTCCAATCTTGTTACACTTGGAGATGCTTTACCCTAGGGTCATACTGTAGCTCTTATTTATGACCTACAGGGACCTCCCTTAGCTACCTGCTGGCTAGGTCGGCAGCTTCATCTTATGCTATTCTGTGTTACTGTGCTGCCTGGGAATATTTATAAAATGCAAATTCTTGGGCTCTGCTTCTGGAAAGTCTGATTGACTAGATCTGAGACTGGGCTCTGGGAATATGAATTTTTGATAAGCCAGATTCGGGAAAGTCTTGCTCTAGAAAGTGTGTTCTGTGAATATTAGTTGCTACTTCGCCATGGAAGCTGCTCTTGTCTTTTGTTCTTTCACTCACCTTTGAATTCTCAAGAGTTACAGCTCTGCTCATGAGAGATGCTGTGCCAGAGCTAAGCCTTGTCAACAAAACGTTTTCCCTGGATTGATCATTATGGCTTTGGTTAACTTCTTGTGTGTAACTGAGAAACTGCTCAGCCAAGAGAGACGGAGAGACACACGGAGAGAGACAGAGACAGGGACAGAGACAGAGAGAGAGAGACAGAGACAGAGAGACAGAGACCGAGAGAGACAAACAGAGATAGACAGAGAGACAGAGATAGACAGAGACAGAGACAGACAGAGACAGAGAGAGAGAGACAGACAGAAACAGAGAGACAGACAGATAAAGAGAGAAAGACAGAGAGACAGAGACAGAGAGAGAGAGAGAAAGACAGAGAGAAAGACAGAGAGACAGAGACAGACAGGAAAGATACAGAAAGAGAGAGACAGAGAGAGAGAAAGAGAGAGAGACAGGGAGAGAAAGAAAAAGAGAGAGAGAAAGAGAGGAGAGAGAGAAGGAGAGAGAGAGACTGAGACTGAGTTTGTCTCCAATTGGGGTTAACAGAATTTTTGGTGGAATTAACACCACTTTTTATTTCTTACAAGAACTTTCTCTATTTAATTTTCTCTATTTGAAAAAACTTGAGATGTAAAATGCAGATGTTCATACCCAGGTATGTTGCTGAATAAAAACTCTGTATATTGGCCAGGTGCAGTGGCTCGCGCCTGTAATCCCAGCACTTTGGGAGGCCGAGGCGGGCGGATCACGAGGTCAGGAGATCGAGACCATCCTGGCTAACATGGTGAAACCCCTAAAAATACAAAAAATTAGCCGGGCATGGTGACGAGTGCCTGTAGTCCCAGCTACTCAGGAGGCTGAGGCAGGAGAATGGCGTGAACCCGGGAGGCGGAGCTTGCAGTGAGTCTAGATCGCGCCACTGCACTCCAGCCTGGGTGACAGAGCGAGACTCCGTCTCAAAAAAAAATAAATAAATAAATAAAAAACTCGTATATTAAATGTAATCTTATTCAATATATACTGTACTCATAAGCCTAAACCCCAGGGTTTTTCTTCCTTTATATATTAACATGTGTTTTGAAATGTGCTTTTGAAATACAAGGGGTTGTAAAACATTGAACCTGCAGAATGTGGACAATAAAGTAACCATTTTTGTACTTATCAAAGTTTCAAACAACCCTAGAAAAATTTGGAAAACTTTTGCAAGAATCTTGTCTGTAAGGTTTATATTCTATATTAAGAAGTTATTATGTAATGCACATACAGATACAGATAAAATTACTTTTCACAGATTAATTTTTACAGATATTTTTATCTGCCTTTATCACCAAGTATTTGATTTGTAAGTTGTTTAGGTGCACCTCATATGTGTGCATAAAATGAACAAGGTACTATTCATGTCACATCCATTTCAGTTCTTTGTTGTTGGTTAATTCTAGCATTTGTACTGCATTAAATTATTTTATTGCAGTGTTGATTTTTATTTTCCCCATTTGCACTGAAGAGAATATAAGGTTGACATTTCTTTTTGGCATGTTTCTAAGCTCAGCAAATATAGCAACCGAGGTGCTAAATTTCAGTCAAAAATAGAACTCCTCAGCCTCATTTTGGAAATTTCTTCTCATTCATGCACAGGGATTCTAGTGTCAAATTTTTAGCTCTGCCCTCTGCTGGTCATTTCAAATTATGCAGAAGAATTCTCAGAACAGTATTCATTTCCAAATATAAGGAGTTACAGGAAGGCGTCTTAAAATTTCACCACTGCAAAATATATTCACAGGAAGATTAATTGTAATAGCTTTACATTTTAAAATCAAAAATTCTTTGAGGTAAATTTTTGAAATTAGAGAGTAGCGAAAGCTTTATAGATTTTTCAAGAAAATAGCATTTGTGTTTTTTTTCCCCTGAGTACAGGTGAAAACAAATATGGTTATAGTTAAGGTATCAATAACATTAGAGAAAACAATCTGATATGTATAAATGCTAATGTTGATTAAGTATTTTTTGTCCTCTTCTGATACAGCACTTACTCCATTAAAGTCTCTTGATTGGTTAAAATAACACAACTTCCTTTTCAGATAAAACAGATTTTTAATTAAGTTGTATTTGCTAAAGGTTATATGCTCCTTTAGCTAAATGATTAACCCTTATTGAAATATGTTTTCACTTTTAAGGATTTGAACAAAAATTTTGTACAGAAGCTTACATCAAGATACAAAGATCATGGATGCTTATAGATACGATGAACTGCAAATGAAAATTGAGGTCAGCCAGCCATCAGACATAGTCAACAAATCACGCGGGTGGAAACTGGGTAGTCTCTTCTGTGTACAGAAGGAAAATGATTATTGATGAAACAAGACATCCATCCCATGTGCTCATTAATTATGAACAAGAAACAATGTCTGTAAACACAAGGAAAGTTTTTACAACGCGAGACCAAGAAAAACAGGGAAGGCATATCTTGCTCACAGCCTTGTTAGATCAAGGCTTTAATTAAGGTCAAGCTGATATTTAATAATAATTTGAGACTAAAGTCCAGCTAAAGAGTACTGAGCTAGGTGATGAAAATTGGTTTTGTTTCTCAACTCTTACCAACGGTGTGGCCTCACCAGTAAAAGTCAAACTAAATCCCTCTAGTGACCCGTTTAATGCTAATAGTCACCACTTTTTGAGCTTTGCTGAGGGTTTTACACATGTCATTTGATCTTTAACACCCCTTGGAGGTTTTGTTAGGTGTATTTTTTATAAAGAGACTGGCCATAATAATTAGTAGAGAAGCATTGAGATCTAGGTATGATAAACTCTGAAATGCCTGCTCTTAACTGCTGTGTCTATTATGCAGAAGTCCCTAAATGTATTTTGGAATAATCATTACAGGCTCTACATCCACACATGTTAGCATTTCACAGGTATGTTCAAAGGCAAAGAGATGATAGGTTTTCACAGTAACCTTCCCTATATCCATAGCTTCAGAAAATAAGAAATATATGGTAGAAATTAACCATCCTTCTATGGGTCTATACATGGATATTATGGATAAATATCCTGGTTTCTAAGTCCCAATTGTTATGTTGATTTAAGGGCACGGTCTTTAGAAATGACTTGTTCAAATTCTCTACTTTATTCTATTGAAGTATATTTGGGCTCAGTAGATCAAAGCACTGCACGTGAAGGCCTACCTCATTTTTAAATGATGATAATAATAACTGTAGCCATAATGGCTATATAGTCTACTAATGGGTGAGTCAGTGCCCATTCTAAGCACCAACAAGTCACCCTAGTCTATAAGTAGCAGAGCATGTCACAGATCTTAATCTCAGTTCCAGCCTGTTTCCTGTGCTATCCGTGGTTGGTGACAGATCTTAAGGCTGAGCCCTTATTTTAGCTTTTCTTTCTGTGAAAAGAGACCCAACAGGCAGCTTTCATATATGTGCTACTTCTGCTTGGTATGCGCTTTCCTGGGGCGAATTGTTCAAACCTCACCTTCAGCTAACACCTTTGAGAAAATGTAAGCTCCGGTGTGGGCGAAGTCTGGATTCTGAGAGACAGGAGTCTTAGAAAATTGTGAATGCAGTTTCGTACAGTATTTCTTTTTGCTTAAGAAAATCTTTATGATAGGCATTTAGATGTTGCCCCACTCAGCTTGAGACTTGCTGTCTAATTTTAAGACTGAATCACTGAAAAGTGTAAGTCTACCTCTGAAGGAGCAGAACTCTCTGTGTGGCAAAGCAGAGGGGCCAATGGACTTTTTCTTTATTTTATTTTTTTGAGATAGGGTCTTGCTCTGTTGTCCAGACTGGAGTGCAATGCTGCGATCATAGCTCACTGCAGCCACAAACTCCTAGGTTCAAGCGATCCTCCCACCTTAACCTCCCTAGTAGCTGGGACTGCAGATGTGCACCACCTAGCCAATCTAATTTTTTTTCTTTAAATAGAGATGGGGTTTTGCCATGTTGCCCAGGCTGCTCTCGAACTCCTGGGCTCAAGCAATCCTCCTGCTTCAGCTGGCCTCCCAAAGTGCTGGGATTACAGGCGTGAACCACCATGCCCGGCCTCCAATGGACTTTTTAATGCATGTCACTGTTCTAAATTAAACCCTGCTATCAGCACTTTTCATATTCCCTTTTCTTATTCCTTCTTGAGGGTAGGTACCACCATGGGCTCTGGCATTTACAGAATACACATAATTCTCCTCTCTGTCTAATCCAGTCCTGATCCTCTGTCTTCTCTAGGCCCTGTCTAGAATCTGTGTGCTCTTCACTGGACCCTTTTGATACTCCGAGCTCATTTAAAAAAAAAAAAGAAAAAGCCTTACATTCCTTTTATTCCTTCCCTTAACTCAAAATTGGTTTCCTTTTATAAGGCTATAGTTTTTGAAATTCACCCCACTCTAATTCCTTCCTTTGGATCTTCTGCTCTCATAGAGCCAGGAGGAGGATGTGTGTGTATGTGGGGGTGGGTTCCATATGCTTAACCTTTTGTTTCCGTTTCCAAATTTGTCCTAGCAGTAGCATCATGCGGTAGACTCATACATACCACGCTCTCTTCTTCTTACGCTTGTTCCCATAATTGCTGGAGAACCTCAGCACAGTGGCCCTGTTGCCTGTGCCTACTTCTGGGATGAGCTAGGACTAAGCAGAGACAACATCCCGAGAAACTAATGTCATGCTAGAATACCAATCTATGAAATTCTATTTCTGGAACCTTTGCTGCTCTACTAAGCAGATCCATGCAGAGAGAAGCCTGCCACTGTCTTGGCATTTCTCAGCCTTTCAACCCTGTGGAGTGTCTATTTTGCAAGTCACCACCTCCTTCTCCCTTACTCAGAGCCATCAGTGATTATTGGAGACAGCTACAAAACAGTGGCAATAAAATCCACTAAACTTTCCAGAGGCCCAGTCTGAGTTGTTCACCCTGTAGCCCTGTGATTTTGGGTGAGTTACTTATTTGAGACTTAGTGTTTTCATCTGTAAGATGAGGAAAATAGAAGAGTTTTGGTGAGGATCAGATAAAATATCAGGCACTTATGTAAGAGAACATTATAGAGTAAGTGTGGTGGAATCCCCAGGCGGGTCTGAGTCATGGCTTTGCTGAGTGATTGCTGTGTGGCACTGGCTGGCTCATTTGTCCTCCGTGGGCTTGGTTCCTAGTTGTTAAGATGGAGGGTTAGTGATATTTACAACGTGGGCTGTAAAGGGGCTATGGCAATGCCCAGCATAGAACGAGGGCTGAGTAGATGCTAGAGCCATTTTATCATCATTTTTGTTGTTATATTCATGGCAGGACTTTTTCGGGCAAAATTCTTATATCATCTCATTTAATCTCACTCGGTTCTCAAAAAGTACCCATTGAGCTGGTTGTATTTACAGTTTTTTTTTTTTTTTTTTTGACAGGCTTGCAGTTGTACGATCATAGCTCACTGCAGCCTTAACCTCCTGGGCTGAAGTGATCTCCCACCTAAACCTCTCTAGTAGCTGGTACCACAGGTGCATGCCACCATGCTTGGCAAATTTATTTATTTATTTTTTTGTAGAGACGAGGTCTCACTATGTTGTCCAGGCTGGCCTTGAACTCAGGGCTCAAGTGATCCTCTCAGCTCGAATTCCCAAAGTGTTGGGATTACAAGTGTGAGCCACTGCTCCCAGCCTGTATGATGCTATTTTATAGGCCAGGGACTAAAGGTTCTCACAGGTAAATTTCTAGAAAAAGATGGAGTTATGATTTAAGCCCAGAAGTTGCCTCATTTAAATTTCATGAACTTTTTGTTGGATTATGATAAAGCTAACATGCAGTAAGGGGTTCAAGAAGTGTGAACACCAGCCGGGCGCTGTGGCTCACACATGTAATCCTAGCATTTGGGAGGCCAAGGAGGGTGGATCACCTGAGTTCAGGGGTTCGAGACCAGCCTGGCCAACATGGCACAACCCTGCCTCTACTGAAAATACAAAAATCAGCCAGGTGTGGTGGTGCATGCCTGTAATCACAGCTACTCCGGAGGCAGGAGAATCTCTTGAACCCAGGAGGCGGAGGTTGCAGTGAGCCGAGATCAGGCCACTGCACTCCAGCCTGGGCGACAAAGTGAGATTCCATCAAAAAAAAAAAAAAAAAAAAAAAAGTGTTACTACCTACAAGGCCTACCCAGTTAAGAATAATTCATGTCCGTGTCTTAGGAGAACGTACGTTCTCACTGGAGAGAGGGAGCAGACAGACAATGCATCAAAGAGAATTCTCAGTTCAAACACAGTCAATGCTGACACAGATAGTACAGAGTGCTCTGGGAACACAGATGAAGCAATAAACACCCGTGTAAGTGGAGGAAGGCCCCATTCTAGAAAGGTGGCATTTGAAGTGGCACATGAAGGTTAAGTAGGAGTTTTCAAGGTGGAAAAGACAGGTTGTTCTTGGCGGAAAACCTGGTTTCTGCCTCAGAGATACGGTTGGCTGTGAAAGATCCTGACACATTGAAGAAATGGTGAGCAATTCCAGTTGGCAGAAACCAAGGTGGGCTGTGAAGGATGGGCGGAGACAGGGATGGGTGATACCTGTTACTAAGGGCATCTTCATAGGCACATCCGCAATCCCAATTCCATCTCAGAATCATTAGAGGTCTCAAATATTTGTATTTACTCATTTTTAAAGGCTAGTCAAGTGTAGTAGTGAGAAGAAGGAAAGAGTAGAACAAGGAATTTGATCTGTAACTGATTCTGAACAATCAATTGAAATCAATTGAAATAACTCACTACCCTTGGACCAACCAGAGATCTCAGATTTGTAGTAGCAAGAAAGGAATATGCTAATTTTTTCCTTCCTTCCTTCCTTCCTTCCTTCCCTCCCTCCCTCCCTCTTTCTTTCTTCCCTCCCCTCCCTTCCCCTCCCCTCCTTTTCTTTTCAACAGGGCCTTGTGCTGTCGTCCAGGCTGGAGTGCAGTGTTGTGATCATGGCTCACTGCAGCCTCAACCTTTCAGACTTAAGCAATCCCCCCCCCGACCTTGACCTCCTGAGTAGCTAGGACTAGAGTTGCACACCACCACACCCTGCTAATTTTTGTATTTCTTGTAAAGACAGGGTTTCATCATGTTGCCCAGGCTAGTCTCAAACTCCTGAGCTCAAGCAATCCACCCACCTTGGCTGCCAAAATGCTGGGATTACAGGTGTGAGCAACCACACCTGGCCACTAATCTTTGCTTTCGATGAAGATGATTTTCTGCATAGTGGAGAGCTAGCTACCAGGATGTGGTAATCATGAAAGAGACTATAAATCTTGTTTTAATTTTTATTTTTTTAACCAATCTCATTCTGCTGCCCAGGCTGGAGTACAGTGGTGCAATCATGGCTTACTGTAGCTTCTAACTCCTAGCCTCGAGTGATTCTCCCACTTCCACCTCCATCTCTGGAATAGCTGGGATTAGATGTGCACTGCCATGCCTAGCTATTTTTAAATATTTTGTAGAGACAGGGTCTAGCTATGTTGCCAGGTTGGTCTCAAACTCCTGGCCTCAAGTGTTCCTCCTGCCTTGGCCTCTCAAAGTGCTGGGATTATGTGAGCCACTGTGCCTGGCCTATCAAAATGTTTTTAAACTAGATTTGAGAGCCCAAAGTGATTGAGATGAATAAGAAACACATTCTACAGACATATCTGAGATGGAAATAATTCATTTTGGTGACTTACTAGATTTAGAAGGTGTGAGGTTGTCAAAGATCAAGGTTTCTAGTTTTGCAGATTAGATGGGCAATTCTTTATTGAGTAATGTTTTTTAATAATTCATGCTCTTAATTTTTGATGAGCAATGCACAATTTGTTAGTATATAAAAGGACTCTTTAGCTATATCATTAAAAAAAAAACTGACCATCTGGACTGGCACTTCAAAATTAGATACTTTTTTTTTTTTTTAATAATGACTAAAACTTGGAATTTTTATAAATATATATCACCGTAAAGGGACAGACGTGGTGGCTCACTCCTGTAATCCTAGCACTTTAGGAGCCTGAGGCAGGAGAATCCCTTGAGCCTAGGAGTTTGAAACCACCTGAGGCAACATAGTCAGACTCTGTCTCTACTAAACAACAACAACAACAACAAAAAGTCAGCCAGGCACAGTGGTGCATACCTATAGTCCCAGCTACTAGGAAGGCTGAAGCGGGAGGATCACTTGAGCCAGGAGTAGGAGGCCGAAGTGTGCTATGATTGCACCACTGCACTCTAGCCTGAGCAACAGAGTAAGACCCTGTCAACAACAACAACAGCAAGAAGTATGTCATTGAAAACAGCCTCATGCAGAGGGAAATGTTCAGCTGGGTTTGAGGCAGATAAAAAAAATCCATTTGTTTAAACTCCAAACCATTCACTACTTCCGAAAATTTATTTTAGGATACTTAAAATTTATTGATTGCCTTCTCTTAAGATGTCTCGGCAGAGGCATTTCCTTTTAATTCATCCATGTTGCTCTTGTTACATTTCCAAAGGAAGTGCTACAGAGGTAATGCAGAGTCAGGAAACTGGTTCCAGTAACGCTGTGAAGGGAGTGAGGGCAGGGTTTAGTCTCTGAAATAGACTGTGCACTTGCTTCACAAGAGGGATTTTTTCTCTCCAACAGCTGAGTTAGAGCAGGCTAAGGTGGTGGGCTGAAATCCTAGTTGGCCCTAGGATGGTAAGAGAAAGCATCCACTCTTGTGATGGGACGGAATTATGCAAAGTAGAAAAGGTTTGTCAGGACCTGTCTCCAGAAAGGATCAAGCAGAATGCATTGACCAAGAAGATGGAATTTGAACATCTACAGGTTAGTAGGAATCACTGAGGAAGTGGGATATGTTAGATTAATAGATGCAATTCATTAATCGCCTGAATTATAATATACAGGAAAGACAAGAAGAAAGAAAAATAAGATCTAGAAACAAAGAGGATTTACGTTGCTATTTGAGCAAGCTTTTGAAAGCTTTAGGAAGAGTGGACAGAATAATAGAATTATTCAATTTAAATGGATTTACTCTTAATTGTACTTGCTGATATCTAGAAAATGAAAGTTAAGAAAAAAACTTTATTTCTTAGCAATAAAAGGCATTTAACTATTGACTTTAAAAAGTCTACCGCACAGCTTACATTATTTAATATGACAAATTATTGTTTCCTCTACAGTGCTGTGTTAATAGCTAATACTTTATATAGCTACCTTCTGAAGCTGTAGAGAGGCTTATAACTTTAACGTTTCATGCTGACATTTAGTTGATCCTAGTTTATCTGGTATAAAGTAGTTGCTCACAATTAATTACTCAAGAACTGAGCTTCGTGTATGTCTGTGGTAGAAATCTGTGGGAGTATGTGAGTTCATTAAAACCGTGCTTTCCTAGTCATTGCTATTAGTTTAACGCTTTCCTTGAAATATCAGTCACTGAGAGAAATAATAGCTTCTGTTATGGCTCTGCACAGCTGTACTGAAAGATTTTGTTTTCACTTTTCAGAAGTATTAGAAAAGTTGCCTCCATGTCTGGGTTATCTGAAGGTGAAACCAGTCAATGATTATAATAACTTCTTTTTTAATTTAGAAGGGAAATAAAGGAAGGAAGGGGAGAAAAGGAAGTAATGAAGTGGGGGAAAGGAAGGAATGAAGGAAGGAAAGAAGCAATATTAACTATAGTAACTGTAGTTGGTACTATTTATGGAACACTTGATATTTCAGGCATTATGATTTGCAAAAATTATCTCATAATATCCCCATTTTACAGAGGGAAAATTGAGGTTCAGGGAGATTAACTATTCAAGACTGGCACTTCAAAATTAGATACTTTTTTTAAAAAAATGACTAAAACTTGGAATTTTTATAAATATATATCACTGAAAAGGGCCAGACGTGGTGGCTCACTCCTGTAATCCTAGCACTTTAGGAGCCTGAGGCAGGAGAATCACTTGAGCCTAGGAGTTTGAAACCAGCTGAGGCAACATAGTCAGACTCTGTCTCTACTAAAAAAAAAAAAAAAAAAAAGTCAGCCAGGCACAGTGGTACACACCTATAGTCCCAGCTACTTGGAAGGCTGAGGCCTTCCAGGATTTAAAATTAATTTTTTAAATTCTAAGAGCATCCCCTAATCCCCATAAGATCCTACCTCTCTCATTTTTTTTTCTTGCAGCTGGATAATGTTAGAAGATGTGTTAAATATTTAATCCAGCCGGAATGCCAAGTTAGATTCAGCTTGGATTTGAAAAACAAAACCAAACCAAAAAGAAAACCACTGGTTTTCAAGGCCTCAGAGCATAAGCTTTGTGTATTACAGGAAAGCTTCTATGCTTGGCTGGAGGTAGGAGAACCTTTCTGTCTTTTTCTGAATTTGCTATGACCTTGGGTAAGTCAACTGACCTCCCTGGGTGATGTTCAGAGCATTATTGATGTTATATAATTTATTCTTATCAATGCCACAAGGTTGGCTAGATATGTTTCCTCTCTAATGTATGATTAGGAAAGAGTCATTTAGACTTCAGTTAATTTTATTTTCTTCAAGGTCAACCAATAATTCAGACATCAAGTTGAATGGAAATGAGCTTCTAAATATAGGTCAAATACTTTTATAAAAATCACATAACTGCATCTCCCCCCCACCACGCCTGAATTTGATCCATCTCCCAATAAGCTCTCCCAAGCTACTACTTAGTTTCTATTGTTAGTATGTTACTGACCAAGTGCACCAGTCCTGCATTTTGTGTCGAACTGATTAATAATTTTCTTCTGAACCCCTAATGCATCCCCTATTTTGTCCACACTCTCATAAAGACTCTAGTTGATAAAAATGACAGGCTGAATATTGCTAATGTAATATTTCAATTCAGATGTAACATCTCTTAAAGATTGAGCTAATTAATACCATGTTTTTATGTTTCATATTGTATTTATTATTCTTTGGTAGCTTAATGATTACCCTTCTACATAATATTTATATATAGTCTTTTATCTGGAACCAATAAGAAGATTTGAGAAAAGTTATAAAACTGCTATAAAACATTATAAAAACTGTTTCCCGTTCAACCTGACTGCTTTGTTTCCCTTAATTCTGGGATTTTCCATCATTTGCATTATCTAATTGATGATAGAATAGTCTCATGGTACCATAAAGTAAAAGACTAACAAGAAATTTTAATTGGTTTGCTTGTCCAACTGCTACAAAATTATAAAGACTGCCTTTTTCTGTGTTTTTTTTTTAAATCCACCCTATGAAACTTATCTTTATGTCTGTCTTTTCTCTGATACGCTGGGGTTTAAAGTGAGCTGCTTTAGCCTCATTAGAAATAAAAGGTATCGTGTTAATGTCTTCTAGATGACCTTTAGTAATTTGAGAGATATTCTCCATTTTTGTAGGCTTGACACTCTATTTTTTCCCTGCTCTTCTAACTCCTGTATTCTGTGGCTTCTGTATTTGACAGTAGTAGCCCCACTCCCAGCAAACCTGAGCCGTCACATCTCTCTCTTTTGGTTATGGAGTTCAAAATGGGGTTCCTCACCCATCTAAGAGTCAGGTATTACTTTGTTCTTGCTGTGTGAGAAGTGGAAGGCTAGTGAAATGAACTAATAGGATCTTCAAAGTGAAACAGACCATATCCAACTTGTAGCCATGTCGGAAAGCCTGTCCACACTATCATTACAAGCTCAGAACAGAGTGTGGGGAGAACCTATTCTATTTAACCTAACCTGTTTGTGGGGAGCCAGCCCTGACTGCCATTTATTACTTTTAATTCTAATTACAAATAATGCATGCTCACTGAGAGGGTTTGAAAGTTTATTTTAAAAAGCCCAAGTCATGGTGGTATGAATGTTTTTGCTCTCTCTTGAGTGCTTAGATTTTCAATCCCTCTTGGAGCATATGAATTATTTGCATACATGGAGAGATATATATATATATCTGTGTATATATATATATATATATATATATATTTGTGTATATATATATATCTATATCTGTGTATATATATATATACACACACACACACACACACACACATACACACATATTCTTTTGGTCTTCAGTTTGTTCCTCATCTTAGAATTTTTTTTTTGTTATTAATAAAATAAGAGTGTTAACAAAACCTCTGGACTCAGGTAGTTTCATTGGTGAATTCTACCAAACATTTAAAGAAGAAATAAAACCAGTCTTAGTATAAACTCTTTCAGAAAACAGAGGAGGAATGAACACTGCCCAGCTTATTTTATGAGGCCAAAATTTCCCTGATACTAGAACCAGATACAGTCATTAGAAAACTATAGCTACTATCCCTGATAAATGTAAATATTTATTAATGAAATATTTGCAAATTTAATCCAGCAATGTATATAAAGGAATGCAAGGCTGGTTTAATATTTGAAAACCAAATGACATATCAAAACCAGGTTAGGTTGATTCCAGGAAAGTAAGGTCAGCTTCACATTTAAAAGCCACATATTTTTCATTATATACATTGTATGTATATATACATTATATATAATGTATATAATATATGTATATAATGTGTATATATATAATGATTCTCCCTAGAGATTATCAGAAAAGTGTTTGATAAACTGTATCACCATTCATGACAGAAACTCTTAGGAAACTTAGAAATAGAAAACTTGCTTACCCTGATAAAGGACAATTATAAGAAATCTACAGCAAATATCATTAGATGGTGAAATATTGAAGGTTTGTTCTTTTAAGTTTGGGAATGAGAAAACAATGCCACTATTACCACTCTGTCTTGTACTGAACAATTATTCCTATATGGTCTAGAAGATAAATAAGAAATTGGAGAAGAAATAAAACTGCCATTATTTATGATGATGTGATTGTATATGTAAAAATTTCAAATACATTTACAGATAAATAATTAGAAATAAAATTTACATAATTACTGAACACAAAATCAATATGTAAAACCAATGCCATTTCTGTATCAGCAAACAAAAATTTTAAAAATACTTAAAAAATAATACATTTAAGACAGTATTAAAAACATCAAATAATCTAAGAAGACACTGAACAGACATGTGCATGGCCTGTATGCAGAAGCCTAATAAACTTCATTGAGAAAAATCAGAAATGACAAGTATATGAACAGATTTATCATGTTTATGGTTTTGAATTTTTTTATTTCATTTCTCTCCAAACTAATAGATTAGATGCAATTCTAATCAATGTCTCAAGGGTGTGCGTGAATGCGTGCTTGTGTGCTTTAGTGGGATGTGACAAACTACCCCTAAACTTTATGTTGGAAGGGCCTAGAATAAGGAAGATGATCTTTAAAAAAATCAAAGTGGGAGGCCGAGGCAGGCGGAATACGAGGTCAGGAGATAAGAGACCATCCTGGCTAACAAGGTGAAACCCTGTCTCTACTAAAAATAGAAAACAATTAGCCAGGCGTGGTGGTGGGTGCCTGTAGTCCCAGCTACTCAGGAGGCTGACACAGGAGAATGGCGTGAACCTGGGAGGCGGAACGTGCAGTGAGGCGACATTGTGCCACTGCACTCCAGCCTGGGCGACAGAGGGAGACTCCACCTGAAAAAAAAAAAAAATACAAGTGGAAAGAGTTAATATTCCAGGTATCAAGACTTATTATAATGCAACAGTAATTAAGCATTCTAGTATTTGTGCAAGGACATAGAAACACACAGTGGAACAGAGTCACCTAACAGACTCTCATGTATATAGACAGTTAATGACTGACAAAAGTGGCACTGAAAAGCAGCTTAATACAGCCTTTTAAATAAATGAGATGGGGTCAACTGGGTAATCATATGAAAAAGATAATGAAAGTTGATATCCATCTCACAAATACAAAACTTTCTAGGATGATTATAAATGTTAATGTGAAAGATAAAATAACAAACCTTCTGGAAGATAATATGGGAGGTATCTTGTTGCTTATGGAGTAGGCAAAAACTTCTTAAACAGGACAATACCCTGGCTATAGAGGAAAAGACTGATAATTTGGAGTATATTGAAAGTAAATGGGCTGGGTGTTGTGGCTCACACATGTAATCCCAGCGCTTTAGGGGGCTGAGATGGAAGGATCTCCTGAGCTCAGGAGGTTGAGGCTGCAGTGAACTGTGATTGTACTCTAGCACTCAAGCCTGGGTGACAGAGCAAGACCTTGTTTCAAAAAAAAAAAAACAAAAAATTGTCAAAAGAAATTATGAAGAAAGCAAAAGCAGCTGGGCATGGTGGCTCATGCCTGTAATCCCAGCACTTTGGGAGGCCGAGGCAGGTGGATCACAGGGTCAGGAGTTCGAGACCAGCCTGACCAATATGGTGAAACCCCATCTCTACTAAAAATAGAAAAATTAGCCGGGCGTGGTGGCAGTTGCCTGTAGTCCCAGCTACTCAGGAGGCTGAGGCAGGAGAATAGCTTGAACCTGGGAGGCAGAAGTTGCTGTGAACCGAGATCGCACCACTGCACTCTAGCCTGGGTGACAGAGCAAGACTCCGTCTCAAAAAAAGAAAGCAAAAGCTAGTTATGAAACGATTCACATTTTCTTTTTTGTATGTTGATTTTGGTAAATTGCATTTTTTTCCTTAAAAATTATGTTTTATCTAATATTTTTAAATTTTGGTGTAAAGTTATTCTAATATCTTACTACTTTAAAGCCTGTAGGATCAATGTTATGTTTCCTTTTTTATTTCTGACATTAGTTATTTGTATCAATACTTGATTATACTTGCCAGAGGTTTTTAATATTATTAGCTTTTCCAGAAGACTTCTTTGGAGGCTATTTATTAACACTTAAATCTGTTTCCTTCTTTCTCCCTTCTTTGGGCTAAATTGCTGGATCTTTTTCTCTCCTAAATTCTTTAGATGGATATTTAACATACTGATTTTTGTAACCTTCTATCTTTTTAATATATGCATTTAAACCTACAGATTTCTCTCTAAACATGACTAACTGTATCTCTAAAGTTATGGCAAATATTTATATTATCCTTCATTTAAAAAATATTTTAAAATGCTGACTCTGTTGTCTTTTTCAATAATGTGTGATTTAGAATTGTATTGCTTGATTTCCAAACATGGAGACTTTGTTTTATCTTCTTTTATTATTGATTTCTAATTTAATTCATTATATTAAGAGAAAACATACTCTTCATTTCAGTATGTTGCCATTTATTGAGATTTACCGAAGATGTGATCAGCTTTCATCAGTGTGCTGTGTATGCTTGAAAAGAATGTTTTAGGTTAAATGTTTTGCTTCAGTCCATTAGGTAAATTGCTGATTATGTTGTTCAGATCTTCCATATCCTTACTTTTTCTTTTCATTGTAGCAGCTATTGAGAAAGTTATTGCTACTATGTTTGTGGACATGTGTTTTTCCTTAGAGCTCTGCCAATTTTTGCTATGTGTGCTTTGAAGCCTTGTTATTTGAAGCACGCATATTTAGAATTATTTATTTTCCTTATGAATTACATTTTTATCAATAGAAGACTCTCACTTTGTTTCTTATGATGCTTTTTGCTGTAAATCATTATCTGTTATTAATATAGCTATACTTGCCTTCTTTAGTTTAAAATTTACATGTTATATCTTTTTACTTTCTAGTAATCTTAATCATTTTTATACCTTTTCATTTGTATCTTCAATAAAGAGCGTAGGTTTGGAGCTCATTTTTTATCTTGACAGTCTTTTGTTTTTTACTGAAGTATAACTAAGTCCATTTACATTTAATACAATTGTTTAAATGCTTGGATTTAAAGTACTATTTTATTGTATATTTTCTATTTGTCTTATCTGTTCTATAGTCCTTTTCCTTTTGTGTCTTTTGGATTTATCAATTACTCTTTACTATTTAATTGTTCTCTCTGGTATTTTAAAAACTGTAATTTTACCAACTATCTTTTATTATTATTATTTTTATTTTTATTATTAAGACAAGGTCTCCCTCTGTCACCCATGGTGGAGTGCGGTGGCATAATCATAGCTCACTGCAGCCTTGAACTCCTGGGCTTAAGCCATCCTCCCACCTCAGCCTCTCAAGTAGCTAGGACTACACTACAGGGGTGCGTCACCACCCCAAGATAATTTTTATGTTTATTTTTAAATTTCTAAATTTTTTTGTAAAGGCAAGATTTTACTATCTTGTCCAGGCTGGTCTTGAACTCCTGGGCTCCAGCAGTCTTTCCGCCTTGGCCTCCCAAAGTGCTGAGATTACAGACCTGAGCCACTACACCTAAGCTTATCTTTTAAAACTGCATACATTTTTGCCTTTTTTGTTTTTTGGTACTTTCACCTATTTCCTGACAAATTAAGCAACCTTAAGACCTGTTTCCAGACAAATTAAGCAACCTTGAGATTCCCTAACTTAATAAATTTCACTTCCAAGTTACACATTGTTATTTTATTTTAATTCTTTCTATATTATCTCCACAGGACATTAATACTGTTTATATGTTTAGTATTCATTTAATCTTTTTTCTTTGTTCTTTCTTTCTGCATCTTCAGGAATCTGTTTGGGATTATTTTCTTTCAGCCTAAAGAGCATCTTTTTGTATTTCCTTTAGTGCAAGCCTGCTAGGTGACAAATTCTTTAGTGTTTTTGGTCTTAAAATAGGTTTCTTTCATTTTCTTCTTGAAAAATATTTTTACAAGGTGTAGAATTCTAGTAGGCAGTTTAAAAAAGATCATTACACTATCTTCTAGCTTTCAATGACACTAACTTCTTAACAAAAATAATCTGTTTATTCATTCATTGAAGGTCATCTATTTGTGGCTGCTTTAAAGATGTTATTTTTAGCTTTTTTATAGCAGTTTTACTGTATTCACCCACTTATAGCATTTATAGGGCTTTGAAATCAGTAGTAGTTTGATACTTTCTTTCATTTTATGTTTTCAGGAATGATCTTTCTATAGATAATGCTTCTAAGTTATTCTCTTTATGATATCTTTTTTTCTGGGACTCCAATTATACATAAGTTAGAGTTCTTCACTGTATCTTTTATCCTCTTATTTTTTCTGCAATATTTCCCATCCTTTTGACTCCATTTCTTCATTCTGGATTGTTTCTTTTTATCCTTCTTTGAATGCACTAATTTTTTATTCAGCTGCTTCTAATCTACCATTAAGTAGATCTGTTGAGGTTTTAATTTGGCTATTTGTCAGTTCTAGAATTGCTCAGTTTTTAAAATTATTTCTAGTTATCTGTTGGCATTTTTTCTTTCTGTTTAAAAATTTAAATCAGGGTCTCATGTTGTTTCCCAGGCTGAAGTGCTGTGGTGCGATCATAGCTCACTGCAGCCTCAACCTCCTGGGCTCAAGTGATCCTCTAGCCTCAGCCTCCCAAGTAGCTGGGACTACAGGTATGGACACCACACCTGGCTAGATTTTAAAATTTTTTGTAGGGACGGGGTCTCTCTGTGTTATCTAGGCTGGTCTCAAACTGCTGGACTCAAGCAATCCTCCCAACTCGACCTCCCAAAAGTGTTGGCATGACTGGCATGAGCCACCACTCTTTGCTGAAGTCTATTTTGTCTTTTATCTTCTTGGAGAGATTTAACATAGCTATTTTAAAATGTGAGTCTGATAACAATCTAGGATCCCTGTGTGTCTTTTTCTGTTGTCTGTTTTCCTATTGATTTTTGTTTATTTTTTATTTATGTCTCCATTTTTCTATTTTTTTTTTTTATTTTATGCTGTGCAAATGCTTAGTTTGATCTCATCTTTTCCCAGATAGGATTTATGTTTGCTTTTGCCGGGGACCTGGGGCACTAATATTCCAAGATCACCTTGAGGTATGTTCAAAGATTTAGATGCTTTGAAGTTGAATTTTAGCCCTGAAAATGTTCGACCTGCCTTCTTCTAGTTAATCTTTGTTACTAGTGTGATGGAATTTTAGATTCTAACCCCAAGTGAGAGGTGTTGGTAGGGCCAGTCTCTCTTAGAGGTCAGGGTCCTCCAGTCCCTTTCCCCGGATAATGTGTCCACAAACTCTCACAGGAATCCTGTAGGGTGTTGAGGGGTGGGGGCAAAAGGATCCCCCATGAGCCAACCTCCGCTCACTAGGTCTGTGTTCTCCCTTGAATCCTGGCTTGCTAATTTTTTCTTAATTTAATATTCCCTTTCCTCTTCCCTTCAAGATATATATAAACTCACATTTATGTGTTCCATGTTTTTTATATATATGTATATAAATATAAAATATATATATATAAATAAACGTTACCTCATTATATAATTATACGTTATGTAGCCATTAGCTCATGTATTATTATTATTAATTTTTTTTTGGAGACAGAGTTTCGCTCTTGTTGCCCAGGCTGGAGTGCAATGGCACGATCTTGGCTCACTGCAAACTCTGCCTCCCGGGTTCAAGCGATTCTCCTGCTTGAACCTCCCGAGTAAGTGAGATTGCAGGTGCCAGCCACCAAGCCCAGCTAATTTTTGTATTTATAGTAGAGATGGGGTTTCACCACATTGGCCAGGCTGGTCTTCAACTTCTGACCTCAGGCGATCCACCTGCCTCAGCCTCTCAAAGTGCTGGCATTACAGATGTGAGCCACTGCACCCAGCCTCGTGTATTATATTTACAATATAAATTTATAGCCAAATACTTTCACTTGGCAACATACCATAAACAGATTTTACATGGCATTCAATGAGATGTGATTTTAATAGCTCTTGATTGTCCCACTATATGTACAAATTAAATTTTTTATTCTTACTGCTATTTTTGGAAACTCTACTTTTTTTCTTTTGTAAAAATGCAAGTAACATTGGAATAAATATATTCTAGTACATAAATATTTTTGCATATCACTGATATATTCTCCCCTTAGAGAAGACTTCTATGAGTGGAATTGGTGGTTCAAAACAGATGGGTTGACTGGGCGCAGCGGCTCACGCCTGTAATCCCAGAACTTTGGGAGGCCGAGGCAGGCGGATAACCTGAGGTCAGGAGTTCAAGACCAGCCTGGCCAACATGATGAAACCCAATCTCTACCAAAAATACAAAAATTAGCTGGGTATGGTGGTGCATGCCTGTAATCCCAGCTACTTGGGAGGCTGAGGCAGGAGAATCAAACCAACTTGGGAGGCAGAAGTTGCAGTGAGCCAAGATTGTGCCATTGCACTTGAGCCTGGGTGGCAGAGCAGGACTCCATCTCAAACAACAACAATAACAAAAAACAAAAAAAACCAAAAGGGATAGGTTTTTAAATTATTTTGATATTAAATTTTTCTGTAGAAAATTTGTGCCAATTTGTATCTCACTGGTAGTAATGTTAGTGCTTCTTTTAAGCACAGCTAAGAAAACACTCCTTTGTCATTTTTATTTTATTTTGGGTGGGGGGGACAGAATTTTGCTCTGACACCCAGGCTGAAGTACAGTGATCACAGCTCACTGCAGCCTCAAACTCCTGGGCTCAAGTGAATTTCCCACTTTGTCCTCCCAAAGTGCTTGGATTATAGGTGGGAGCCATAGTGCCTGGCCTATTTGTAAACATGTCAGAGATCTCAGTTCATCCTGGGGTTTAATCTTTTGATGTTATCTTATTATTCTTTTACATTTGTCATTTTACATTTGTCATTTTACATTTCCATTTTTAAATAAGCCCTTTTATTTAAAAGCCAACCATAGATGCTTTGGGCAATCACATTTATGTGTTCCATGTAGAGCTGTTTTAATGGCTATGTTATAGTGCTGTGTGAAGATTGTGGCAGAAATAGAAATTATAAGTGTGAAGATCATGCAATTATTTAAAAAATCTGTATTATTTATAAAACCATGTGCACTATGATTACAGCTACATAAAACATTCAAAGAAAATTTAGAAAATAGGCTGGGCACGGTGGCTCACACCTGTAATCCCAGCACTTTGGGAGGCCGAGGCGAGTGGATCGCTTGAGGTCAGGAGTTCGAGACCAGCCTGGACAACATGGTGAAACCCTGTCTCTACTATAAATAATTGGCCAGGCATGGTGGCACACTCCTGTAATCCCAGCTCCTGAGGAAGCTGAGGCAGAAGAATCCTTTGAATGAGCCAAGATTGCGCCACCGCACTCTAGCCTGGGTGACAGAGTGAGACTCTGTCTCAAAAGAAAATAAAATTTAGAAAATATACACAGTGGATGCTGTGGTATTATGATACTGATTAGTTATTGTTTTTCTTATCTTCCCCTCTCAAAACAATTCTATAGGGTTGTGCTATTATTTTTTAATAATTAAATGATTAACGCAAACCCAGATATTGTGAGTTCAATTCAGGCTACTGTCAGTAGATCTACCTTTTATCCAGCCAGTCAGTCATCTTATAAATGGTTCAAATGAGTTAAAATAAATGGACATCTCAGCTGGGCACAGTGGCTCACGCCTGGAATACCAACATTTTGGGAGGCTGAGGTGGAGGATCACTTGAGCTCAAGAGTTTGAGACCAGCCTGGGCAACATAGCAAGACTCCATCTCTCCAAAAAACAAAAACAAAAAAGCTAGGCATCATGGTACTCACCTGTAGTCCTGGCCACTTGGGAGGCTGAGGTGGGAGGATGGCTTGAACTCAGGAATTGAAGGCTACAGTGACCTGTGATCACACTACTGCACTTCAGCCTGGGCCACAGAATGAGACCCCATCTCTTTAGGTAATTAAATAAATACGGCCTTTTTGTTATTTCCCCAATAGTAATAATGTGTTTATTGCTACCTAGTCCAAAAAGTATTTACAATGATTAGGAAAAAAAGATATAGTAAGAAAATAAAAAGGTGCTATTTTAGTGAAAAGATTAAAGAAAAGAAAAAACAATACTGAAGTGGAACCAGGAATGAGACTAATCAAAAACACATATTCCAGAATCTCCAAACATGTGGCAGGTGGGCCATATGTGAATTTCACTGTTTTTTTAAATAACAAAAATGAAAAGCACATCTGATCAACACAATTTATATTGTCCCTGAGATTAAAAAAAAGAAAACACAAATGGCCAGGTGTGGTGGCTCATGCCTGTAATCCCAACACTTTGAGAGGGCCAGGCAGGTGGATCATGAGGTCAAGAGATCGAGATCATCCTAGCCGATATGGTGAAACCCCGTCTTTACTAAAAATACAAAAATTAGCTGGGCGTGGTGGCACATGCCTGTAGTCCCAGCTAATCTGGAGGCTGAGGCAGGAGAATCGCTTGAACCCGGGATGCAGAGACTCCATCTCCGTCTCAAACAAACACAAACTCAAAATACCATCCAACTATTTAGTTCTTTAGACAGAGCTGTGAAATTATAAGATCAGGAATAAATGTGTCTTCAGAGCCCTCCTACACGAGATATTCTGTAATGGGATGGGCATTTTCAGTAGTCTTCTGTGGACTTGGCAGTCTTGTCTCAGATATCACACCCAAGCCCAATTCAGTTGAGGCAATTCTTTTTGAGGTCAGTAGGACAAGGTGTAGAGCCCTCTGCTGGCCTGAGATAGATTTATCTACATAATCTAGGGATAGATTTTATTTGATTTGATTTGATATTGTTTTGTTTTGTTTTTGAGACGGTTTCACTGTGTCGCCCAGGCTGGAGTACAGTGGTGCGATCACAGCTCACTGCAGCCTCGACCTCCCCCCGGGCTCATGCATTCCTTCCGCCTCAGCCTCAAGTAGCTGGGACCACAGGAGTGTGCCACCACACTTGGCTAATTTTTTTATGTAAAATTTTTTTTTCTGTAGAGATAGTCTTGCTATCTCGTCCTGGCTGGTCTCCATCTCCTGGGCTCAAGTAATACTCCTGCCTCGGCCTTCTGAAGTGCTGGAATTATAGGCGTGAGCCACCAGCACACCTGACCAGGACAGATTTTAGAGTGGTTATAAAGAAATCAGTGAGCTGCATACTTCGAGGCAATTTTTATTTTTAATATTTTTTTCCCCTTCATGCAAACTGTGGCATCAGGTGGGAGATAGTACTTTATGGAATATCTGGGATATAGTTACCATATTTTGCTACTTTAATATGGGTCTGCTGGCCTTGATAGACAATTGAGCTGGGGCAGTGCTGATAGTTTCTTATTAAGAGAGGAACTTAAACTCAGATTAATTCCCACACAGATGGACATTCTGTCTCTACTCACAGATAAGCCAATCATGGAATGAGAATAGCAACAGTTCCTCTCAGACAGTAATAATCTAGGTTCTGCATTAATATACAGTCCATCCCTGGCGCCGACCAGAACCCGTGGACATGGTGAACCAGGTTATCAAGTGCAAGGCTGCAGTTGCCTGGGAGGCTGGAAAGCCTCTCTCCGTAGAGGAGATAGAGGTGGCACCCCTAAAGGCTCGTGAAGTTTGAATCAAGATCATTGCCACTGCAGTTTGCCATACCAATGCCTATACCCTGAGCAGAGCTGATCCTGAGGGTTGTTTTCCAGTGATCTTGGGACATGAAGGTGCTGGAATTGTGGGAAGTGTTGGTGAGGGAGTTGCTAAGCTGAAGGCGGGTGATAACTGTCATCCCATTTTACATCCCACAGTGTGGAGAATGCAAATTTTGTCTAAATCCTAAAACTAACCTTGCCAGAATATAAGAGTCACTCAAGGGAAAGGATTAGTGCCAGATGGTACCAGCAGATTTACTTGCAAAGGAAAGACAATTTTACATTACATGGGAACCAGCACATTTTCTGAATGCACAGTTGTGGCTGATATCTCTGTTGCTAAAATAGATTCTTTAGCACCTTTGGATAAAGTCTGCCTTCTAGGTTGTGGCATTTCAGCTGGTTATGGTGCTGCTGTGAACACTGTCAAGGTGGGGCCTGGCTCTGTTTGGGCCGTCTTTGGCCTGGGAGGAGTTGGATTGACAGTTATCGTGGGCGGTAAAGTGGCTGGTGCATCCCGGATCATTGGTGTGGACATCCATCAAGATAAATTTCCAAGGGCTAAAGAGTTTGGAGCCACTGAATGTATGAACCGTCAGGATTTTAGTCAACCCATCCAGGAAGTGCTCATTGAGCGGACTGATGGAGGAGTGGACTACTCCTTTGAATGTATTAGGAATGTCAAGGTCGTGAGAGCAGCACTTGAGGCATGTCAGCAGGGCTGGGGCGTCAGTGTGGTGGTTGGAGTAGCTGCTTCAGGTCAAGAAATTGCCACTCATCCATTCCAGCTGGTAACAGGTCGCACATGGAAAGGCACTGCCTTTGGAGGGTGAAAGAGTGTAGAAAGTGTCCCAAAGTTGGTATCTGAATATGTGTCTAAAAAGATAAAAGTTGATGAATTTGTGACTCACAATCTGTCTTTTGATGAAATTAACAAAGCCTTTGAACTGTTGCATTCTGGAAAAAGCATTCGAACTGTTGTGAAGATTTAATTCAAAAGAGAAAACCAGCGTCCATCCTGTCGTGATGTGATGGGAGCAGCCTAACAGGCAGAGAGAAGCGCCTCCTAGACCTTCAGCAGCTACTCCAGAGAATGGTGTGATGTGCGTCATTCATGAATCTCTGTAATCAAGGCAAGGATAATTCAGTCATGGACTGGACTCTCCTCCACATAAATAATTGCTAGCTCATTAAGGAATATTTTAACATAATAAAAGTAATTTCTACAAAAAAAATACAGACTATTGGACAATGAAATTTTCTTGCATATGGAAGAACCAGAAAAAATGTTGATCTGAAATATTTTAAGGTGGGAACCAAACCCTCATCTTACCTGTAAAAATCTCAGCGAAGCACTCTTAGAATGCCTACCTTTGAGCATTGTTATTTTCTGGTGGACACACTATGATAAATTATTTGTGGATTATAGCTCTGAGTTATTTTAGGTGTTGTTATTTATAACCTAGTGAAAAGATGGGGAAATAGCTGCTAAAAGTAACTTTTCTCTTTCTTAAGCTAGCAGGCCTGTAGCCTACTTTACGCCACTTTTAGGTTGTGTTTTTAAAGTTTCTCATATGCCTATGGTAGAAAGTTTGTTTTCTTTAATAGGAAGATACAATGTCATTCCGCAAAAGCCAAAACAGATCTGAAGAATTTAAGGATGTGGAGTGGAGTCATGAAAATGCATCCCTGCTTTAACCCAAAAATAAAACTGTGATTTGCTCTGTTAAACAATTCTTATCCATCCTGACCTTGTCCTTAATACTCACAGTATGTTGATTATTTATACTTGACATTCCTGAGAAAACAAGGGAATGTAGGATTTGGTAACTGGTAGCTAGAAACTCATATACCCTATTCGGGAAAATAACACATTTGTGAAATATTACACATACACATACACACACACACACACAGAAAAAGACATTTATGGATGGTTGAGGAAATATCACAGGGCAATTGTTAATTGAATGCAAAACTGGTTGACAAACAGCACAAATGCCAAGAAAACTCAGTTTGCTCAACTACTTATAGTCATGCAAAGAGCACAGAAAGATTTAGTGCTGGTTAAGTAGAGATGATGTGTAGGTGAGATAATGATTTTCAATTCCTCTGAAAAGGATTTTTTTAAAGAAATAAAGTGTGACTATTGTAATCAAACATAGATTTTTAAAATTCAAAACAAATAGTATTCATGGCATATTACATTTGAATATCACCATGTAATTTTCATAGTTCTTTTCACATATCATTTACTCTTCCCTCATGCAAGCTCCCCCAAAAAGACAAGGGACACATTTTTCCTGATTTACTGATGAGAATATTGAGGCTCCAAAAGGTGATGAGGTTTGCTTAGGGGGGAGCAATGAATATATCTTAGGAATTTTATCTATTCCATGTTTTTTCTTTAAATAGTTAATTACCAATAGGTTTAGACATACCAGATAACCTGATACCTTCCTTTTTCCATATGATACCCACAAAGTTTCCTTTTGGTTCCTTGGTAAACAAATGAAGAAAATGAGATTAGCAGCTACAGCCTCTGCCTATATTGACCAGCCATCTCTTTTATTTATTTTTACTTGATAAATGTGTTAATTCAGTAGGCAGCCAGTGGCCCTTTTTTTTGTTTTTTGTTTTTTGTTTTTTTTTAGATGGAGTCTTGCTCTGTCGTCCAGGCTGGAGCACAGTGGCCTGATCTTGGCTCACTGCAACCTCTGCCTCCCAGGTTCAAACAATTCTCCCGCCTCAGCTTTCCGAGTAGCTGGGACTACAGGCGCCTGCCACCACGCTCAGCTAATTTTTGTATTTTTAGTAGAAAAGGGGTTTCAACATGTTGGCCAGGCTGGTCTCGAACTCCTGATCTCAGGTGATCTGCCCGGCTTGGCCTCCCAAAGTGCTGGGATTACAGGTGTGAGCCACCACGCCCGGCCTCAAGTGGCTTTTATGTAGTCATCATAGCACTGTCCAGAGCTAGGGGAGATTTACAAGACCTGTGTCCACCCTTCTCATCCTGAAGTCGTTTGCAGTCAATTTGAGGAAACATGATATACACTCAGGACTAGGGGACAAGCCACTGTTTTGGATAGTACACCATTAAGTGTTGAAATGTGGGGTGACAGGTGTGCTGAGTTAGCTGTCCCATTCAGGAGTGGCCTTTCAGCAGAGGTGGGTCTGATTCAGGTGAAATGGGACTTCAACTAGATTTTTTAATGATTGATTAGACTCCTTGAGTGGGTAGAGCTGGAGAAGGCATTCTAGTGGCATGAAGCTTGGTTTAGGAAACAAGAAATGAATCTGGGAAGGAAGATGGTGGGAATATAGGAACGTTGAAATGATATTTAAGTTGAAGAGTTGGGATTTGATTCTGCAGACACGGAGGAACCATGGAAGAAATCTGTTTTGCTTATTTTCTGCTAGTGGAGCTACGTGATGAATGGGAGGCTTTGAGATTACTGTTACAGCCCAGTAATACATTACAGTTCTGAGGTGTGGTTCAAAGACAGGGGGACTGACCAGATACTTTTGTTTGTTTATATGAGGTTTTATAGAGTGCTTTTAGCATGCTTTGTATTTTGGTGAATGATGAAACTCAGTGAGATAGTTTATCCCCTTGGTTGTTGGTGCTACCTCTTTTATATGGAAAAAACTATGTCTGAGGCTGTTAGTAGGATGATGGCTCTCTAGGCAAAAGTCTTTTTGTGGTTGATCATGATGCCAGGTCTGGAGCCTCTCAGTCACTCCAGCCCTGCTTCTCTCCACCAACTCCCAGAGGAGCTGGTAGGCCAAGCATTTTTCTAAGCATGCTATAGATAGCATATTTTACACATGAGGAACCGAAGCTCAGGCTTAGAAGCATGCTGTTGTGGCCAATTTGGTTCTGCTACTCTGGAAAATATTAGGAGGGCAATGGCTGCAAAGATTTAAGATAGGCTGTTTTCTGGGGCTGTGTAGAAGAACTGTAGCTAACTGTAGCTAAAATAGGTATCATTACCACTAACTGGAGGGCGGTGAAGGATAGAGTGGAGAGGGCATTACATTTCAGAAACTTCTTTTCTTTCTGTTTTTTTGAGACAAGGTCTTGCTCTGTTGTCCAGGCTAGAGTGCAGAAGCATAGTCATCATTCATTACAGCCTCAAACTCCCAGGCTCAAGTGATCCTTTCACTTCAGCCTCCTGAGTAGCTAGGAATAAAAGTGTGTGCCACCATCCCTGGCTAATTTTTTAAAAATTTTTAAATATTCTGTAGAGGTGGGGTCTCACTGTGTTGCCCAGGCTGGTCTTGAGCTCCTGGGCTCAAGCAATTTACCTGACTTTGCCTCCCAAAGTGCTGGGATTATAGGCGGGAGCCACATGCCTGGCTACAGTTCAGTTGTTTTCTTAAGCCATCACAGTATCCATGTTACCTCTTAAGAACTGACTTGTCAATTTTATCATGTGCTGCTCTTGAATAAGTGCATCTTAGCTATCCCCAACAGCCTTGCATTTACTGTTTTTAAAAAAATTATTAAAAAAATTTTAACTGTTGCAAAATACACAGAACATTAATTTACCACCTTAACCATTTTAAGTGTCCAATTCAGTGTTGTTATGTATATTCACATTGTTGTGCAATCAACCTCCAGAATTTTTTCTTCTTGCAAAACTGAAAGTCTGTACCCGTTACATTGCAACAACTTCCTATCCCCCATCTCTCCAATCCGGGCAACCACCATTTGACTTTCTGACAATATGAATTTGACAATGTTATGTACCTCATATGGGTAGAATCATACGGTATTCGTCTGTTTGTAGCAGGCTTATTTCATTTAGCCAAATGTCCTCCAGGTTCATCCATGTGGTAGCATGTATCAGAGTTTCCTTCTATTTAAAGGCTAAATAATTTCCCAGTTTGTATATATATCACATTTTGTTTATCTGTTCATTCATGGATGGTCACTTGGGTTGCTTCCACCTTTCGGCTGTTGTGAACATGCTGTTATGAACATAGGTGTACAGATGTTTCTTTGAGATCCTGTTTTTAATTCTGTGGCATATATATCCAGAAGTGTAATTGCTGGATCATATAGTAATTCTATTTTTAATTTTTTGAGGAACTGCCATATATTTTCCATAGCAACAGTATCATTTTACGGTATCACTAATAGTACACAATGCTTTCAATTTCTCCAATCCTTGCCAGCACTTATGTTCTATCTTGTTGTTGTTGTTTTGGATAGGGCCTTGCTCTTTTGCTGAGCTGGAGTGTAGTGGCGTGATCATGGCTCACTGCAGCCTTGACTTCCGGGGCTCAAGTGATCCTCCCAAGTAGCTAGGACTACAGGTGTGTGCCACTATACCTGGCTAATTTTTATATTTTTGTAGAGATGAGGTTTTGCCATGTTGCCCAGGCTGGTGCTTTATTTTGTTGTTGTTGTTGTTTGTTTGTTTTTTAAATAGCCATTCTCTTGGGTGTGAGGTGATTTCATTGTGGTTTTGATTTGCGTTTCCATAATGATTAGTGATATTGAGCATCTTTTCATGTGCTTGTTGACTATTTTGTGTATCTTCTTTGAAACAATGTCTATTCAAGTCCTTTGCCCATTTTAAAATCAGGTTATTTGCTTTTTGTTGTTGACTTGTTAGGAGTTCTTTCTATATTCAGGATGTTAAATCCTTATCAGGGTTGATTTGCAAATACTTCCTCCCATTTTGTAGGTTGCCTTTTCACTCTGATTGTGTCCTTTGATGCACGGAAGTTTTAAATTATGATATAGTTCAGTTCATTGATTTTTAAAAAAATTTTTGTTCCTTGTGCTTTTGTTGTCATATTCAAGAACTCATTGCCAAAAACAGTGTTACCAAGTTTTTCCTGTATGTTTTCGTCTAAGAGTTTTGTAGTTTTAGGTCTTATGTTTCAGTCTTTGTTCCATTTTGAATTTTTGTATATGGGGTAAGAATTTACTGGGTTTTAATGAAAGCAAATCTCAAATGAAGTTTTGCCCAACATGTAAACATTTATTAAACATACAACATTAGTTTGCACAAGAGCCTATCCAAGCTGACTTGAGAGTCAGAGCGTGGCCAGCTTGCCACTCTGGTAGGTGCTTGACCTCACCTTGTGTGAAAGGTCCATGTGATACAAACACCAAGGAATAGGATTCTGTGACCGACTGTTGGCAACAGGCAAAGAGACATCCTCCTAAACTAGAGGTGGGAGGTAGCACTCTCCGGCTGTCACACCTTGACATCATCCCTTGCCTGAGTTTTATCCTTTTTAAGTGTGGGGATGTTCTCTGATGTTGTACTCAATCTACTTACATTGAATTCCTTCAGGTTCTCCAATGATAGCTCATTGTCTAACATTCATTATGTTAATTAAAGCCACTAATTTCACCAATGAAAAACTATTTCTGATATTCAGTATGCTAAATAGCGCAGTTTCTGGTGTTGGTCGAGATAGGATAGCTGGAAGATACATGAGTAGCTCAAATGCTTAGCCAGGTCTGAAATGTGGTCCTTTCTGATCCAACGCTGAGGCTAACCCCAGGAATCTGAATTCTCAGTTAGGACCAATGACTGTCCCTAAATGTAAAGCTTAAACTAACTGGTCTATACATTGTATCTTCCTGTTCATGCTGGAGATTATTTTATGAATTTCTTAATTTGTTAAATACAGAAATAGCAACATCCATCCGATAACTCATTTACTTTGTAGTCTCGACCCAGTGATTACAGTGGTTTTTTGTTTTTCACTTCCACCATACTGTTCTTCTCTTTGCTTTACTTGATGTGGATCAAAGGTATTAGGGAAATACAACCAGTTAAGAAAAATGTCACAAATATAGGGCATGCATATATTGAGCATATGCATCCTAAAATGGTTGAACACATTGTTATTCTGAAATCCTAATGAGCAGTTTTCCAAGGTGTTTATAGGCCATGGAGCAGGCTTCCCTGTGAGATTTGTAGTTTGTCTCCTGGCCCTAGGTATAGTACTAGCTGCTTTCTCATTCTGTCCAGATTCTGTTGGTCTGTAGCTGGCGAGGTCTTTCTTGGCCAGAAGATCCCTATTCAATTCTTTTTTTTTTTTTTTTTCTTAGCAGGTTCATTCACTGTTTCATGGTTTCTCTCCCAGTTTCCAACCTGGACCCCAGATAAGTCGGTTTCCTGGGCCTTTTGTGGTTGAAGGCACGGGAGCTATTATTGTCCTGTGGTGCCCAAGTACAGCCTGTCCTTTGACATTCCCACAAGTATATAAACAATTTTAAAAGGGATATCATATTCAGATGAATTAAAGATGCTAGTTCAGGGAGTTCTCTGATTGACTGTCTGGACTATCTGATTTTATAATTCCCTGCAGGGCTACATAGCATCTCTCCCTCCAAAGAAAGAGGCGTAGGTTTTACTATAGAAATGAAGTTGAGGCAAATGTGGTTATAAAGATAAAATGACTGCGTGAAAAAAATGTGTATCTTAGGAATCTACACTGAATAGTATAAAAATGCTGTTTTAATGTTTCATATATGTATGCATATATAAGTAATTTACATAGAAATGATTTTGCAATGTATTAGTCATGGCTTATTTTTTTGTAACTGAATTAATAGCATTTCAACATTTTTTATTTTTAAATATAGCAAGATCAACTTTATACCTGGGCTGCAGTTAGTCAACCCACACACTCATTGGACTATTCAGAAGGGCAGTTTCCTAGGCGAGTTCCATCCATGGGGCCACCATCCAAACCTCCCGATGAGGAACACAGGCTCGAGGATGCTGAAACAGGTAACCCTTTCCTTTGTCTTCAGAGATAACTGGAAGAGGCAAGATAGAGAGAGAGAAGTTTTATTAAATCTTAGTTTTAAGTAATCTTTTATTTTTAATTGCATGGCATTCAGATATAATCTTCAAAAAGTTTTTACTTTGGGGTCTTTTCTCTCTTTGTTCCTTTTGTTGTCTTATTTTGTGTTATTGGCTGGGAAGATAGCGTGAGATCAGCCTCAGGTTTATTTGGAGGAGTTCAGCAGGATGATGACCCCAAGCCTGGTTTTAAGAAAACACTTTATATTTGTCATACAGAACTGAGAACCATATTTGTGTAACAATCAATGCTTTATGGAATATGGTTGTTTTGTCCTTTTTTCCCCCCTTCTTCTTCTTCTTCTTTTTTTTTTTTTTTCTGGACAAGGTCTTTCTCTGTCACCCAGGCTAGAGTGCAGTGGAGCATGACTCGCTGCAGTCTCAACTTCCCTGGCTCAAGCGATTCTCCCAACTGAGCCTACCAAGTAGCTGGGACTCCAGCCATACACCACCACGTCCAGCTAATTTTTTTGTAGAGCCAGAGTCTCACTCTGTTGCCTAGGCTGATCCAGACTCCTGGGCTCAAGCAGTTCTCCTACCTCGGTCTCCTAAAGTGCTGGAATTACAGGCATGAGCCACCGCACCTGGGCTTTTCTTCATTTTGTTGTAATAAATTCCCAACTTCCTCCTGGTGGACTGACCAGGCATAAATATTGATTTCTGAAGCATGAGTGAGGAGTAAATAGAAGAACATCATTGCTATTCATAGATTTCTCCTCCACCCGATTTTCCTAAATGGTAACATAGATATTAGAGTTAAGAATTTTGATTTTTTTTTTCTCATTGGCTCATAGAGAGGAAGACAGTCATTAGAAACTTATTTTGGATGCATAGTAGAAGAGCATAACTTAAAAGCATGGAGCTTGGGCTCTGCCAACTTATTAGCTTTGTAATCTTAGGCAAATTTCCTAACAACTGTATTCAGTTTTCTCATCTGTAAAATGGTGATGAGCATAGCATGTACTGTGTAGGGCTGTTATGAGAATTATAGGCATTTATATGAAGCATTAGAATGTAGAATGCAGTGCCTAGCTCCGTGTATTTAATATTATTTATTACAATTATTATCATTGTTTCATGTCATTGCCTTATTCATGAGGTCCCTTTCAACCGACAATGACCAACAATGTAAAAGGTTTTATTCCAGTCCCCCACCCAAAGTTCTGCACTTGCCTCCCATTTGCATCCCAGTCTCTGGAGGAATGAATTTGCGCCTTTTTTCTTTCCACTGATGCACTGAAATGAGGGCCCACACTTGACCTTGAATCTCCCTTTTGAGATGTCCAGTGCTTTTGAAACACTGTTTGATATTCACTAGGTGGGCTGTACTCCCTGAAATGAACAACAAATGAGAGAGAGGGTGTAGGAAGTGTTGTTCCAGGAAGTGTTGTTCCAGGTTACTGAGTTTATCGTAACACTTACAGAGAGCAGTTTCTCAAAGGCCAAGGCAGACTTCCTTTAAGCAAAGATCTTCAGAGATCAGAGACCTCTAACATGATAGCACCTGAAAATCAAGCAAGTAAAAGGACTTTTCGTTTTCAAAGGAAAACACACAATTAAAAGTATTGATCCCATTTTCTACACTACTCTATTTATGATAACATTTATTGATACAAAATACTTAGGGGTAGATATAGTTGAATTAATCAGTTGCATGGAGAGCCCTTTTATCCCATGTTTTGCATCATTGATTGGGTGATATTTTCATGTTTTCTGTTCCCTACTGTATCATTCTCAACTTTTCTAACTGAAACATTTATATGATATTCTTAAATTTTAGGGAACTTTATAAAACATTATGAAACATTTTATGTTGCTGGTATATATACTGGTGGAGCACTTGACTCGAAGTTAATTGAATGTGATAACCTGAATTTTAGTTTGGTAAAAGATGATAGTTGGAATTGATACCAGGAAGTTTGTCACCTGGTTTTTGCTTCATGATTTGATGTAGCTTGCAAAATGCTAGAGCAAGTGATTTTTAATGAAATAACTTGTCTCCTTTTTAAAAATGCATTCTTGAAGAGGATGATGGAGGTAAGAAGTAATTTAACTTAGTGACTTATTTTTCTCTTGTTGATCTATAAACCCCAGCAGTCATATAGCATTTTTTCATCAGAGTGATCTAATGGGTCTTTCTAAACTTCTTCTGTTGTGACTCCCTGACGTAAATTTGGAGAGACACTTCCATGAGACAGCCTCGTTCCCAGAACCATACCACACTCTCTTCTAATCAGTCAGTTGTAAGAGTGGGCATGTCAGTATCATAGGTAACCTTTGCCTACAGTCTCATGTTTTACATCAATCACAAAGTTTGATAATATAATTATTAATAGTAATGATCTATTTGTAGTTAACTGATAGGTGCACATTCTTCTGTAGTGACATCTTGGTTAAATCCACTGTATATAACACATGACCCCTTTTTTTTTTTTTTTTTTTTAATGGATTCTTACTCTGTCACCCAGGCTACAGTGTAATGGCGCCATCTCGGCTCACTGCAACCTCCGCCTCCTGAGTTCAAGTGATTCTCCTGCCTCAGCCTCCGGAGTAGCTGGGATTACATGCGCCCAACACCATGCCAAGCTAATTTTTGTATTTTTAGTAGAGACAGGGTTTCACCATGTTAGCTAAGCTGCTCTCGAATTCCTGACCTCAAGTGATCTGCCCGCCTCTGCCTCCCAAAGTGCTGGGATTACAGGCATGAGCCACTGTGCCCGGGTGACCCCTTTCTATTTTAATTCAAAGTGAAAGAGTTCAGTGACATTTTCTGAAGAAGAAAGACTTGCAGGTCTAGCTTAGAAAATTGAGGACTTTTTTTTTTCCTGCGTGCTTCGTTCGTTGTTTTTTTCAGCTCATTTTTTGTTGTTGTTTGTTTGTTTTTGGAGTCTCACTCTGTCGCCCAGGCTGGAGTGCAATGGCATGATCTCTGCTCACTGCAACCACCGTCTCCCGGGTTCAAGTGATTTTCCCTCCTCAGCCTCCCAAAGGGATGGGATTACAGGCACCCACCATCATGCCCAGCTAATTTTTGTATTTTTGTAGAAACGGGGTTTCACCATGTTGGCCCAGCTGGTCTTGAACTCCTGACCTCAGGTGATCCACTCCCCTCGGCCTCCCAAAGTGCTGGGATTACAGGCGTGAGCCACTGCACTGGGCCTTTTTTCCAGCTCTTAAAATTGGTTACCCAATTCACATGTCCAGCTAGTTCAGATTTGTGGTACTCTGTCTTCTGCCTTTTTCATGTATCTCACTTTAACTGCATAGGGAGCATCTCACTTTAACTTTTTCACGATCTGTTCTGTGAAAGATGGTGTTTTCCTCCTTTATGGATTGGTGAAGGAACTGACCCTTCTTTGTATGAATTGGAAGGGCTGAGGCCATGGTGAGGTCTTGGTGCCTCTTCTCACCAGTGAGTTGCAGATTCCTGGCAGTCCTTTGTTCTCATCCTGGCTCCCTCTGCAGTTGGCATTGTCTCCACAGATGGGCCTAAAGTGTTAACATTGACCTTTTGAAGTCTGCAGAACACCCCTGAAGGATAAGACTGGCTGGGAAAAAAGGAAGTAATGTGCTTCCCATGTTGGTGGCATTAAACAAATAAAAAACCCAAACCAGTTGGTGGCAAAAACATTGATACAAAGAAACCCTTTCTATTTATCATTTTCTCTTTATCTTCTCCCTCAGTTTCCCTTGGCTATACACAGCAGTCTCCCACCCATCCATGGCTGTTTCCCACTCATGGACCCTTTTCTGGAGTCCCATGACATCCTATTCATCTCTCTGTCATCTGAATGCTTTACGTATTGAATTTTTCTGTTTATACATATACATGTCTTCCCCATCAGCTTTCAGAATTTCAAGACTTTCTGGCACATAGTATGTACTTAAATATTTGAGTGAATGATGAAATTCTTTTGCTGGAAAAGATCTAAATAAACATCTACTTAGCACATTAATGCAAGATTTGAGGGAGAGTTTTGTATGGGCTAAAACAGTTCTTGGACCAATTTAGGGGCTCAATACCAAGTTTCAAAGGTCATTCAATAGATTTGAACAACATCAAATAATTAACTTGAGTTTTCAAATTCATGGAGAACCTGGAGCAGGAGCAAGGTGTGTAGATGTGAATAGGGACTTGATCATTGTCGTTTCCTCTGTGGAAAATTAAATCCCTTCCCTTTCTTTGAAAATGTGAATGGCTGAGAGGAAACAGAGAACTGACTTTTTAGAAAGGCAATCAAGGCACAGAAAATCCTAGAAGAAAATATATGGAAGAGGATCTGGTAGAAATATGGTAGCTGACTTCCTACTGCAAGGAATAAAAGAAAAGAAAGAAACAAAGAACCATGGCAGAAGATTTTCATGTGAAAATCCTTTAAAATGCAGTTGTGCACTGGCTGAATACATTGTAATTCACCTTTGTTCCAAAAAAAGATTTGAGCAGCTTATAAATATGTAAAATGTACAAAAGGATCATAAAGGAATATAGATCAAACGAAAAGGAATTTAGGATGGAACAATAAAATGAAGCTGAGATAAGACAGCCAAGTGAAATGTATCTCATAAGGATCTGCCATTTTTAAAGGTAATTGGAAATTTAGCCCTCAGGTGCAAAGCAGAAAGGGGAATGTGAGTGTCTTCCTCAGTGTCCATGAGATTGAAAACACAGTCACTCACAGAAGCACAACTAATATCCCAAAGAAGTGTCTCTAATGGTTCCTAAGAGAAGAAATTCTGTGCCGTGCAATGTCAATACAACTCATTTCTTTTCTTTTCTTTTTTTTTTTTTTTGAGACAGGGTTTAACTCTGTCACCCAGGCTGGTGTATGGTGGCATGATCCCGGCTCACTGTAGCCTTCGTCACCCGAGCTCAAGTGATCCTTCCACCTCAGCCTCCCAAAGTGCTGGGATTACAGGTGTGAGCTACCACTCCCAGCTAATTTTTAAAATTTTTTGTAGATATGAGGTTTTGTCATGTAGCTCAGGCTGGTGTTGAACTCTGGGCTTAAGTGATCCTCCCACCTTGGCCTCCCAAAGTGCTGGGATTACAGACATGAGCCACCATGCCTGGTCCATTTCTGTGTTTTGTTCAAATGTTTTAACATAAGTTCGGTTGAGATAATGCAGAAATTCTATAAGGGACCAGGGGAGACTTGGTAGTATTCTATCTCTCTGAGCCCCTCACTTAATCAAGGAATAAAATGTACTGGAATAGACTGACTGTGTCTCCCAAAAATAATTACATATTTTCAACATGTAAATATATAATATAATATATATATTATATGATTAGGTTATGATTATATAATATAATATATATAAATTGAATATATATTATATATTGAATTAGATAATATATTGAATATTATATATTACATAGTATGTGCATGCATGTATGTGTATACATACATGTATATATACACACACACATGCCTACATATAGTTTTCATAAAATTGGCCTTGATTTTCTCCTGCGCTAACTAGAGCCTAGGTGTGGCTGTATTTTGTTGACAATGAGAGGCAGAGCCTCAGTACTATTAAATAATCAAATAAGCAGATCATGGAATTGGCCTCATTTAGGAAAATTCAGGTATTTAACCTCATCTTCATTTGTGGAAAGACATGGTATATCAGAATTAAAAACATCTTGCATTTATTAGGCAGCCAATCATAAGTCATGCTATTTAAATGAAGTTTAATGAATTCTGTTTCAGTTAAATTGACTGGATTTGAATCAAACTGGTATATACCATTAAAGAAGCTATAATATAATAATTTTATATAGCTGCATTTTAACTTAAAATGTCTGTTTAGAGACTACTTCATTCATTTTTAGAAGGCATATTTTGTATGTATATTTTAAAGGGAGGTTTATTTTCCATTCTTAGCTGAGAGGCATATCCCGCTCATTGTCTTACTGTCTTCTCTCTGTAAATACACAGCTCATCCAAGTATGTTTTGTTTCGTGAGTGAAAGGCTTATTTTGTGATGGTAAAGAGGTCAGTCCTGAAACATTTGGAGTCCATAGGGAGTCCAGAATTTTAGATTATGCTCGGAATTTTGAGGTAACTTTTTAAAATGGAATATTTAACCTTTTTTTTTTTTTTTTTTTTTTTTGAGACTTGCTCTGTCGCCCAGGCTGGAGTGCAGTGGCGCGATCTCGGCTCACTGCAAGCTCCGCCTCCCGGGTTCAAGCGATTCTCCTGCGTCAGCCTCCCGAGTAGCTGGGACTGCAGGTGCCCACCACCAGGCCGGCTCATTTTTGTATTTTTAGTAGAGACGGGGTTTCACCGTATTGGCCTGACCTTGTGATCTGCCCGCCTCGGCCTCCCGAAGTGCTGGGATTACAGATGTGAGCCATTGCGCCCGGCCTGTTTTTTTTTTTTTTTTTTTTTTAAGAACATTCTGGTTTCTTAATTTTAAGGATGGGTGAAGGAGGTGGCCATTTTAAATGTACCCTTGAGAGCTCTCTCACCAGGTTAGTCTTTGAAAATAATAACCATTCTAGTGATGAATATTCGATGGAGATGATCAGTCTGTCCTAGAGCTGGGTTTAAGGCAATTCCTGAAAGTGCCCTGGATCCTGGGAGGAGGAGAGTGTTGGGAACGTGGGAGTCGGGAGTTCCGGGAGTGATCACTTTCATTTAGGGAGCTCTATGAAAGTTGGAACTAGGCTGATATCTCAGATTCACCTATCTAGTGACTCCACTCTTCAGCCATTACTGGTACATCAATTTCTCTCCGCTCCCTAAAGGACACTTTCGCCATTTTTCATGTTCCCTTTACTTTCTCCCTCCTATACCTTCCCCTTCTCTTTCTCCCTCCTATACCTTCCCCTTCTCTTTCTCCCTCCTATACCTTCCCCTTCTCTTTCTCCCTCCTATACCTTCCCCCTTCTCTTTCTCCCTCCTATACCTTCCCCTTCTCTTTCTCCCTCCTATACCTTCCCCCTTCTCTTTCTCCCTCCTATACCTTCCCCCTTCTCTTTCTCCCTCCTATACCTTCCCCTTCTCTTTCTCCCTCCTACACCTTTCCCCTTCTCTTTCTCCCTCCTATACCTTTTTCCTTCTCTTTCTTTTATTCTGTATTGTTTTCTTTTTCCTTATCATGTATTTTTCTCTTCTCTCCCAGTGGTTCTCATTTATTTTCCCTTTATTTTTCAGTGAAGTTATTCTGTACATCTCTTTCATGTTAAAATCTTGACCCTCTAGAACTCCTATTTTCCAGCTTATGATTTTGAAGACAGCATTTCAACCTGCAAATTTCTCTTCTGTGTTTTAACACACAGATTCAAACAAATAAAAACTATAATGAAAGGGATGGGATTGGGAGAATGAATTCAGTTCAGGTAGCCATTGAATTAGACAGAGAGGAGCTGAAAGTTTGGGTGTAGGTGTGCAGAATATTTTGCTGATGCATCTTTCTAATGTGGTTTTCTAAGTACGTTTTTCTGATAAACTGCACTTGTTCTTTACCATCAGAGCCCAGAAGTTTACTTTTTGGGTCCAGTTACCGGGTCAAGGACTATAGAACAAAGCTAGAAAGCATTTTATGCATTTCTAATGTAAAGAACTCTTTGTGTACCACCAGGAGAGCCTTTAGGCTCTTGTGGCACGATCTAAATAGAAGAGGAAGAGAGACTTTTCCCCACTGGTACAAAGCCAAGACTTGTCTTGAGTCTATTGTGTTTGGGAGGATTTGGAAGTGACGAAAAACAATAGAAAATGAGAGCGTTCCGGAGTTTGGATTTGCTTTAATATTAACTGTTAACTAGCTTTGCTGTTAAAGATCTTTATTAAAATTTGGCTAACTCTGGTGTTAAGTTCAGAGTAGAGATTTGTCAATATAAGAGAAAAGAATCCATTTTTGATTAGCTCAATGATATGCTATATTTATCTGGGAAAATGGTTGTATTTTAAGGCCAGTTGTTTATTGCCACTGTGACACTTACTGGTAAGTGACTGCATCATGCTATTCTCAGTGAGTTTTGTTTTAAAATATATACTCCTAGCTGAGATTCAGAAAATAGCTAAAGGCAAGGCAATATCTATATTGTCTCTTGTAAAATCCTTACTCTCTCTTTCTCTGCCCAGGATACCCCACTTTTCCTGGTGGAACCCACTTTCATGTTCTTATCATTGTTTTGATCTTTCATTTATTCTTTCATTCACTCCTACAATTACTCAACAAATATTTTAAGCACCTACTAAGTACCAGGCACTATTTGGATGTGGGGGACACAACAAGAGGAAAAACTGACAAAAATTCTTGCTTTCACAGAGTTTATGTTCTAGTGGAATAAGAGGTATAAATAAGTAGGCAACCAAATGCATTATGGAGTATATGGTGTGATGATCCAGGTTACGAAGAAAGTAAGGGTGAGTGTGTGCTGAGTGCCAAGGAGTGGGTGGGGTCGCTGCTTGAGCAAAGCCCCGAAGGAAGCAGCCACAGAGTGGGGCTTGCAGATTTTGGGAAGAAGAGTGAGTGCAGTGCTCTGGGCAGAGGCAGTAGCCACTGTGGCTTTGGCGGCCCTATGGAAGAAGCATGACTGGTGTGTGACAAGACAAGTAAGCTGGCCAGGGTGGCTGGCCTGGTGAGCAAGTTGGGACAGATGGAGGTGGGTAGAGAGGCTAGGGAGTAACAGTAGTTGAAACCAGGCCTTGTGGGTCCCTGTGGAGACAGATTCTCATCTGAGTGAAATGAAAACTTTCATTGTAGCTTAACAGTATGTTAAGCTGTTTAAATACTAAATGCCTTTTATTTTTCTGTAGCATTGTCACATATATCAGCTACCATGTGGCTAAATTGGAAATGTCAAAATGACCATAAAGAGTGACTGCTGGCCGAGCACGGTGGCTCATGCCTGTCATCCCAGCACTTTGGGAGGCCAAGGCGGGCGGATCACGAGGTCAGGAGTTCGAGACCAGCCTGGCCAACATGGTGAAACCCCGTCTGTACCAAAAAAAAAAAAAAAAAATTAGCTGGGTGTGGTGGCGGGTGCCTATAATCCCAGCTATTCGGGAGGCTGAGGCAGGAGAATCGCTTGAACCCAGGAGGCGGAGGTTGCAGTGAGCCAAGATCGCGCCGTTGCACTCCAGCCTGGGTGAAAGAGCGAAACTCCATCTCAAAAAAAAAAAAAAAAAAAAAAGAAAAGAAAAAAACAAAACCAAAAACAGTGACTGCTGTACCTTGTGTCCAGGGTCTGGTCTGCATGCCAGTCAGGGGTGCAACGCGACAGTCAGGAGATATAAACTCTCGTCTTCACCTTGCCAACAACCACTTGCATTATGGGCTTTGAATTTCTCATCTGAAAGGTGCAGAGGATGGATGAGATTAGTGGTTTTTCAGGCTCTGATTCATGGAGCATGAGGAATTCCTTGAAGGCCCTTTCATTTTTATTTTTATCCTAAAGGCCCTTTTATTTTTAAATTTGCACACAAGCTTCACTTAGAAGAAAGTGCCCTCTCGCTTACGAAAAGAAATCCCTGACTTGGTTATGCCTTAGGTCTTTTTAGAATGATGAATTTGCAGTCTCATAGAATCTCAGATGACATGAGGACTAAAAGAGAAAAACTGCTTCAGAATCCCTTCTTACTCAGTGTCTCTTGGTGACAGTGTTCGTTATCTCTTGTTGAAATCAAGGGGCAATTTGACAACAGTTAGATGAGGCTTTTGAGCTCCCATCCTTCAACCTTGGTGAAGTGGCTTCTATCGTGATACAGACTTCAGCTAAGTGAATAATATAATCTGTGAAAGTCTTAGAAGGACTTTCTGGCACAATTTAGAAACTAGCAATCGAGACAAATAAGGATAGTTGATATATAGAGAAGGGCATAGGAATATCCCAATTTTTAAAAATGACATGAGCATTCTCATTGTATGTATTATATATATTGAAAAGTAGTCATATCCTAATAACCCAGTTATATAATTGGAAGAGAGACTGGATATTTTTTGGTACTTATGGTTAATGATATATTTTAGTGAAAGTTTTATTTTCTGATTGAAGAAATAGGAAAATTGTCCTTTAAGATACTGACTGTCTGCTTCCTTTCCAATCTAGAATCTCAATCTGCTGTTTCAGAAACTCCCCAAAAACGCTCAGATGCTGTCCAGAAGGTAAGATGATCTTATTAGGATGTCAGATTCCCATCTGTCTTATTTGTCTTAAGATTGTGACAGACTCTGCGATTTATCTTTCCATCTGCCCGGCTGGCTAGGATGCCCTTGTTTTCCCTAAGCCTGCAGTGGAATCCAGTCAGGCAGAAGGGGATGTTTTCTTCCATTTATTTTTTGCATACAAAATCAGCCTTGAAATGGAACTGAGTACAAGCTTTTCAGAAGCTGTTTTATTCTATATCCAGCCAAAGAGTTGGGCCCAATAACAGCGGGCTCCAGCAGGAAACGGTGGCCACTCCAGGGAGAAGTCTGCGAGATGTGCCTGCTCAAACAGTCCCATGGCTATGATCTTTAAAAAGAAATCTGTCAGAGCTTTGCTAAAGTCAAATAAGGTTCTTATTACTTTGGTGGATGAAACATTAATTAGTATCTGTTTAATTTCCAGGAAACTATTTTTTTTCTGTTACTGTATTAGTCCGTTTTCACACTGCTGATAAGGGTGTACCCAAGAATGGGCAATTTACAAAAGAAAGAGGCTTATTGGACTTACACTTCCACATGGCTGGGGAGGCCTCACAAGTTCATGGTGGAAGGCAAGGAGAAGCAAATCACATCTTATGTGGATGGCAGAAGGCAAAAAAGAGCTTGTGCAGAGAAACTCCCATTTTTAAAACCATTAGATCTCGTGAGACCCATTCACTATCATGAGAAGAGCATGGGAAAGATCAGCCCCCATGATTCAGTCATCTCCCACCAGGTCCCTCCCACAACATGTGGGAATTATGGGAGCTACAAGATGAGATTTGGCTGGGGACACAGAGCCAAACCATATCAGTTACCAAAGAAGCCAAATTTTGTGGGTTTTTTTTTCTTACGCTAAAATGCAAGCTATGCTAAAATGGATTTCTTATTAAAAAAAAAAAACTGCAAGAAAGGAAACGTGTATGGAATAGTAATTGTGGATAGCAATTGCTCTTTTGGATATAAAACCATTGCTTACAAACCAATTTACATTTTCACCCAACTATGCTTTTGTCAGTAACTTAGTATTAGAAATGAACAGTAAAAAGATGTGTTCTGTTCTGTTGGTGGTCTAGGAGAAAATGAGGAGACACATACTTGGGTTTTACACCCGGATCTATTTCTGATTAGTGTGATGACAACAAGCTTAGATTACCTGGGACATAGGGTTCTTCTCTGTAAAATTAAATTATTGCTGATCTCTGATAACTCATCAAATAAAGTAACTTCCCTTTAGAAAAGAATCCCTGTGTTATACATGAAAGTTGTGCTCCCCCTGGAGGAGAAATTGGGGTACAACATTGGTTGAAAACAGCACCTGGGTGCTTTTCAAAAATGCGGCTAGGTTAGCTATCCTTAAGGACAGTTCATTGAAAAAGCAAGTTTTTCCAGCTTATTGTTATGGGAGCAGAGGGCTACATCAACTTGGTGGCACTTGGAGAGGCACGGTGGGCTCAACTGATGGTTCCTTAATTATCTGCAATGATTAGCCCACAGCGAATAAGAGAAAGAAAGATAAAAAGGTAAAAAGAAATAGTAAAGTCAGCAGTTATTAAGAAAGATAGTACCCTCAAATCTTCCCTCACTTTTTAAGCCTTTTTTTTGGTGTGGAAAGCATGGCTAAATTGTGATTTAAAGGGATACATTAAGTTTTTCTAAATTCTTATGTTCAGGACGTATATGAATCAATTGTTACATACGATAATGTCAAAGAGAACCTGAACAGGAAGTATTTGATAATATCAACAATGATAAAACATGTACAGCATTGCTTTCTATATTATGCTATTTCAAGATACATATTCATGTGTGTAACATTATAGTGTTTTTCCTGAGCGATGGACCATGGTAAAATATATTGCAATAAGCAGAAAACCTAATGGAGTAGGTTATTTAAAAACACTTGATTTTACAACTTGAAGACTCAAGGGTGAAATAGATTGAATAAATGTTACATCTTATCCTTGTTGACAGTGAAGTGTCTGGAAGTCAGGAAAATTAATTGAGAGGGAACAATATTTGGAAGCAATCGATTTTAAGCACCCGACAATGACATCACTTACTTTTGGAATCATTAACTCTTTGTCATACATTTATTTTACGGGCTGATTCTTTTCTTAGATGATATGGATATGTTTCATGACAGGCTAAAGTAACTGGCCGTAAAGGGGATAGGGAAAACTCAAATTAATTGTCAACCTACTGTATACCTGTTCTTTTACTCTATTACCTTAAGAAATCCTCACAATAATCCTTTAAAGTAACTATTATAATGCGCATTTAACTGCTAAAGAAAATGATTATATGAGTTAAAATAACTTGCATCAGATCACAAACTTGATAAAGGGTAGGCTCGCTATTTGAGTACAGATCTGTTTGATTTTATACTTATACTATGATAAAAATTATACTTTTACATGGGTAATCACCCGATGCCAAAATCGTCAGATGAATGAGATGAGATTCTAAATTTATTTTATTATATGTAAACTCTACCATGTATCAGTTGGATGTCCAGATACATTATAGAGGCAAATAGGTATATTAGTTCACTTATACATTTTGAAGTTTTACTAGAACTTTGATGTGCTAAGTTGTGTTAATTTTACTAACTTTAGTGCTTTGTTATTATGTAAAAAAAATTATTTTTCATGGAAAGTCCTTGCTTTTTCCTTCTTAGTCACTAGATGGCAGTTCTGTATCTCTAAATGCAGCTGGAAATGAGAGGTTTGAAGGCAGTTTTCTCAGTATGAATGATGAACCTAAGAGATTTTTCTGGTCCATCAGCGTTGCCTGCGTTCTTCTGTGGTCGTAATGTGAGATCCCCAGGACTGCTTAGTCAGAGGCTTGCAGCCGAGTTGGAAAGCATCCTCTCTAAGTTATTCTTCAGATGTGTGTTCAGACACCTGTTCTCTCAATCTGAGCACATTGGAATTTATTGAATGAGTTTTGACTTTTACTCTTTCTGTAGTTAATAATTCTGAGAGTGCGATATCCCTAGAAAAAACACATGACTCATAAAGCCTTTCCTCAACTCACAGGAGTAGAAGGCTGTGGTGTTGCCAGAGAGTCTGATGCTTAAAGCAAATACAGCTGGCACTCAAGTGAAAAGAACGGACTGTAGCTACTCCTTGAATGCTTTTATTGATGACCCTGTGGAATTAGGTTTTCAAATAAAATTACATTCTTGAGACCTCACTTACTGATTATTTTAATTTCAAGTAATATGCTCTGAAAATCTGCTCTATCTGAAGAATTATGTCATAAAACTGAAATGCGACTGTCTTTTGATTCTGTTTATTAAAATCTTTGCCATTTGAAATATTTAAACTGTAAAGCCTTTTATACTCTGTAGTATATAATAGCTTAGTGTCAATTATTTTATCTAAGAACATTTGCTTCTAAGTTAAAGATTGGTGTATGGTAACATGCTTCACCTGGTAGCCACCTAGTTTCTAACTTTTTGCTTTTGAAATTATATATACAATTTTTGTTTCAAAGCATTTTTCTAAAACTCTTGGTATCTTTCTAATATACATGGACTAGCTGGAAGGGAAATAGAATAACATTTTGATTTTTAAAAACTCTAGCTTTGGGTAAGAATTGAAAATAACAGGTAATTGAAAGTCAGGTCTTTGAACATTATAATATTTATCATTTATCAATAGTCACATCTATTACAAAGTGCTAGACAATAAAAAGGAATTAGACGATATCAGCACTGTCTTCCCCCATATGTTGTATGATCTATATGCAAATAAATTCTCAAGTGTCAGAAAAACGCTTTGCTCTGATCAGCCCTACCGAGTCCCCTCATTGCCCAATCTAACTGCAAATTTATTTGAAGAAGTAAATATTTTTTTACTGGATCTCCTTAAAGTATCTGTTATAGTACTCTTTATGCAGTGGCCACTCAGTTCCATTAGTTTCAGAAATAATTTAGGAACAAGTCAAGGAAACAGATGGAGTAATGTGGAGTAGCCTTGTGGATGGTCTTGGTTACTCAGAAACAAAGTTTGAAGAGCAAAAGAAGCATTGGTCAGATCAAAAGAAAGTGGAGTAAAAGTGATTCTGAAGAAATAATGCTGGAGACTTAATAAAACAAGCCATTTGAATTGGGGTAGAATGTCTTAGACATATAGAAAGTTTCTAAAGAAACATTGTTGAGTATGAGGTCTTTCTCAACTCCAAGGCAAAAGGTAATATGAATTTGCAAAGTAATTGGAAACCAACAAAACAATAACCCACAAGACAAGTAAATAACTAAAATAAGGCGGAGTAAGAAATACAAGTCTTAAAGGAGATAGAGAGAGAGATACTTGGGTCTGAAACCATGAGTTAGTCATCCTTGAAGTCTTCCTCAGTGTCTAATCATTCTTAGGTCCTCAATAAATAGTTTAACCACTAAATACTCTGACCTAATGAGTCTGGGAAGGGGCAAGCGAGAGATGGTTAGGAAGGGAAGAGAAGACAGGATACCCTTAGGGCAGTGCTGACATTGAAGATAGGTAACATTTTGAAAGGTATTCACCATACTATGTTAAGAGAAAGAAAGGATTTTTTTTTTTTTGGTGTGGGAATAATTTTTATTCTGTAGAAACTCCAAGGAGCTCAGAGAAAAATATAGACGTTTTAGCTTAGAAATAATCACAAAAGAAACTCTTCTATGAGTTTTAAGAATGAAAACCAGCTAACATCTGGAAAGCAGTTAGAACTTGAGATGAGAATGTGAAGAAATAATTGGATGTCACAGATTGTTTTTGTTTTTCCTTGGGGTGGTCAGGCTTGGGGGTGAAATGAAGTAATATCTTTGCTCTATTGAGTTTTAGATGGTGTAAAACTAGTTTGCACTATGCAACATTATTAATGGCCTGTGGAGAAAGGCAAACAGTCCAAGCAGCTAATCCAATGGGGGTCGTGGAGCTGATAAAAGTTCTCTGCTTATAAAGGAGGCTTGTCCTTTATTGAACATCTGCTGACCTACTGTGTGCAAGGTATTTGTGGTAGATATTGAAGGAAATACGAAGAATTATAAGACAAAATCTTGGGTATTAAGAAGCAGACAGTTAGAAGAACATACCTCTTTCACGTACATGAAATGATTTGCGAGATGCAATGTAATTCTGCCAAGATAAACTTAACAAAAAGGGTGAAGGTTGTTGAGAGACTACAATTAAGGGCAATTTCTTAGGAAGGGTGAAATTTAGATCAAATCGTCATTTTTGGATAGATGGAGGGAAGAAGAGTGAGTATTTCAGATCAGAGAAGAGAGTAAAGGTAGAAAATTGGAAGTGAACATGGCACTGGGTGTGGGGCCAGGGAGAAGCGCAATAGTCCAGGTGACCTGAGAGGCAGCTCAGCTGGCAGCTGCCCTGGAGACCCAGGTTTTGCTTTCCTTCTCCCGGGCCTCCTTGGCCTGCAGCCTGACAGTGCCTTAACCCAGAGCCCAGTCTTATCTGGATTACTGCAGTATTCTCCCGATGGGTCTCTCTGCTTCCAGTCTTAACCCTTCTAATCTCTCCTCCACAATGCCTCCAGAGTTATCTTTCTAAAATCCAAATTTGCTGATGTCTGATATCTGCTTAGACTCATCCAGTGACTGCTCATAGCATTTGAGAAAATGTTCAGACTCCTGAGTTTGACACATGGGGTTTTCCCTTGCCATCCTCAGTCTTCAGCGTTATCACTCACTATTTCCTGTATGATTGGCTGGCTTGTTCCAACCCTAAAAAATACACTAGTTTTTTTGTTTTGTTTTGTTTTTGTTTGTTTTTTGTTGTTGTTGTTGTTTTTTTAATCTTTAGGATCCTTCATATCTGTCTTATACATGTTTCTTCTGCACTCCTCTTTTTAAAAATCTACTTCTATTTTTTAATCTAAATTTGTCTAAACTTGATTTTGTTCTAGACACTGGACTTGAGAAGACTCAGTCTAGGGTGCATTTCAGGAGTGGTAGAACATTTGCTTATATTCATACCATAGTGGTTGAGGATCTGGGCTTTGGACCAGTTTTCCTGGGCACAAATCCCAGTTATTCCACTTTTAACTGGGGAACTGTCAAAGATGAACAAAGTCAGACATTAGTTAAAATGGTAAGGACAGATTTTATATCAGTGGCAACTATTGCGCTAGGGAAGAGTCCAGCGTGAACTAAACTCAACTTTGATTTGTACAGAGGTGACCAAGCATTTTAAAGGGAGAATAAAGGAATAGGGAGAAGGGTGAGTGGAGGCTCAGGAGACTCAGAAGTGAAAAACTGCAAGGGTTCATTAGTGTAAATGAGATTAGGCCAGCTGTGTCTACTAACTGGCAGTTATAAGTTAGGAGTCTGTCCTCCGCCAGAGACTAGGAAAGAGGCCCCATCCTCAGGTGAAGGCTGAAACAGTAAGTTGTTTTGGCAGCCTTGAGTTTTCTTAGGCAGTAATTTAAAGAGCGGTAGGATTATCTTTGGGATGCAGCCTTTAGTTGGTAGAAACTATGTTAATGTTTGCTCAAGCCTTTACAGGCCAAGGCTAAGGCCTAGTTGAGAAGAGGGCTCAGAGGAGCCTGGCTAGAGCTTGATCAAGAAGAGAATCTTTGTTAGAATTTAAGAATAGCATTTTACTCTGTGTGCCTTAGTTTTCTCATCTATAAAATGGGTATAATAAGAATTCCTATCTCTACATTTTTTTTTTGTGAGTTTTAAATATATTTATGTAAAATGCTTTGGAGGAGTTCCTGGCACTCAAAATGTTAGCTCTTTATCATTATTGTTGTTATAGTTGAGCAATACTCTGGTTTTGAAAGTTGCTTTCATTGCATAGGTGGTCCTCATTATTCTTGGATTTGCATGTATTTGCGAACTCACCTACTTGCTAACATTTATTTGGAGCCCCCAAATCATATTCATATGGTGCTTTCACGGCCAATCACAAACACGCTCCAAGTGGCAAGAAATTTGAGTTGCTTGACGTGGACTTTCCCAGCTGATGTTGAATGAGGTGAAGCTCTGCTTTCTTCTTTCAGCTCTCATTCTGTAAATAAGAGTGTTTTTGTGGCTGTTTTTTCATGTTTTTGTGCTTTTTCTTGTTGGTTTTACTGTTCGAAATTGCCTCCAGGCATAGAGCTGCCGTGTTGTCTAATGTTCCTACGTGCAAGAAGGCTGTGATGTGCCTTGTGGCAAAAACACATGTCAGATAAGCTTTGTTCAGGCTTCAGTGATGCTGCTGTTGGCCATAGTAAATCAGCAATATATATTAAATAAAGTGTCTTTCAGCAGGAACACACATTTAAAAAAGGTAATGCATTGATTGGTTGACAAAAATGTGACCAGGGGCTTGCAGGAATCTAAACCTGTATTTTTTCTAGAAGCAATATTCAGTATTCACTAATTTGATGTTCACAAAGACTTTATAGGACAAAACTACTGTGAATAACAAGAATTGACTGTATCTTTTTAAATTCTCACAATAAGGCTGGGTGTGGTAGCTCATGCCTGAAATTCTAGCACTTTGGGAGGCTGAGGTGGGAGGATCACTTGAGCCCAGGAGTCTGAGACTAGCATTGGCAACATAGGGAGACCCTGTCTCTACCAATAATAATAAAAAAAACAGCTGGCCATGGTGGCATGAGCTACTTGGGAGGCTGAGACAAGAGGATCACCTGAGCCCAGGAGGTCAAGGCTGCAGTGAGCTATGATTGTGCCACTGCACTCCAGCTGGTACAACAGAATGAGACCCTGTCTTGAAAAAACCAAAACAAGACAAAAACCCAACATTCTCACAATATCCTTTTGCAGTAGGCAGAGTGAGTGATGGAGTCTCCACATTTTATGGACTATTCAAGGTCTTATGAGCCTAATAGAGGATTTAAAACGTTTTATGCTCAGTAGTCGGGAGCCATGAGTTTTTGAGGAATGAGCAAGACAGTTTAAGGAACAATTACCTGGCAAGGGAATGTAGAATGATAGGAAGAGGGAGAGTGGAGCCAGTTAGGACCAGCTATTAAACTCTCAAAGTAATTCCATTACTTCTCAGCTAAGGTGCTGATGTGATACAGGAAAAGTGGCAACCAAGAATTGAAATGATGGGTTTGGTAACCATGTCTAGGGTATAAATTAGGCTGTGTGGTTTGCAGACTTCAGTATCAACTGGGAGCTGGTTAGATATGCAGATTCTCAGGCCCTACCCAGACCTACTGAACTGGAAACTGTGGAGGTGGGGCCCAGCAATCTGTGTGTGTTTTTTGGTTTGTTTGTTTTTGTTTTGATACAGAGTTTTGCTCTTGTTGCCCAGGCTGGAGTGCAATGGCATGATCTCGGCTCACTGCAACCTCCGCCTCCCAGGTTCAAGCAATTCTCCTTCCTCAGCCTCCCTAGTAGCTGGGATTACAGGCACCTGCCACCATGCCCAGCTAAGTTTTTGTATTTTTAGTAGAGACAATATTTTGCTGTGTTGGCCAGGCTGGTCTCAAACTCCTGACCTCAGGCGAACCGCCGGCCTCGACCTCCCAAATAATCTGTGTTTTAACAAACCCTCTAGGCGATTCTGGTGCACATTGAGCTTAAGAGACAATGAATTAGAGAAATGATCGAAAGATGTTCCCAAGCCTAGGTAAACTACAGGACAGGCAAAGGAGTATTTTGTTGGAGGATAAGATGCTTGATATTATGAAACATACATTTGGTCTTAATTGCCATCTCCTGGCATACAACTCCTAAAATCCTTGGAATCTTCGAAGAGGTTAAGTGTCTTTTTATATGCTACTGTTTGTTGTCTGGTAACTTCAGGATGGGGCTGGTCCACAGAAAGACCAAAGCATAGTAATAGGGTTGGGACTTTCTGCCCCACCCCCCAGCCTCGGGAACTGGGAGGGGCTGAAGGTTAAGTTGGTCACCAGTGCCCAGTGATGTAGTTAATCGCACCTACATCATGAAACCTCCATTAAAACCCCCAAAATTGATGGGATTTGGAGAGCTTCCAGATAGCTGATGAACACATGGTTTTCCCGGAGGGTGGTGCTCCCCTTTTCCCAAGCCTCTCCCCATCCATCTCTTCATCTGCATCCTTTGTAACATCCCTTCTAGTAAGTCAGCAAAAGTTATGTGTTTCCCTGAGTTCTGTGGGCTGGTCTAACACATTGAACCTGCGGAGGGGGTGGAGGGATCCTGGATTTATAGCCAGTTGGTCAGAAGTTCCTAGAGGCCTGGACCTGTGGCTTGCATATGAAGTGGGGGCAGTTTTGAGGACTGAGCCCTCAACCTGTGGGACCTGATGCTACCTCCAGGTAGATAGTGTTAGAATTGATTTGAATTAGAGGACACTCATCTGGTGTCTATAATAGAATTGATTGCTTGCTGGAGGGACGAAATCTTTGCACATTTTGATGATAGAGGTCACAGAAGTCCTCTGTTTTCATTGTTGAGTGAGAGAATAGGGAAAGCATTGTGGTTAGGTTTTTTCCTGTACCCTCAGATGCACTTTAAGGAACCTGGGTACCTCCCAGGTTCAAGCAATTCTGCCTCAGCCTCCAGAGTAGCTGGGATTACAGGTATGCACCACCACGCCTGGCTAATTTTTGTATTATTAGTAGAGACAGGGTTTCACCATGTTGGCCAGGCTGGTCTCAAACTCCTGACCTCAGGTGATCCACCCACCTCAGCCTCCCAAAGTGCTGGGATTATAGGCGTGAGCCACTGTGCCTGGCCAGGAAGATTTTTCTTGAAAAAACAAACACCAAAAAAAAGATATTTGAGAACAGTTGGGTGTTAATGCAAGGGAGGCGATTAGGAGGTAAAAAACTGAGCTGCACTTTCCATCCATAGATCATTCAAGGAAAGTGAAGCTGGAATAAAATAGTGCTTTCCTTCCTTGCATTACTTGAGACAATTAAGGGATAGATTGCTTTAAAGTATGGTCCAGTACCTCCTGCAACTCTAGCTCAAATAAGTAGAAAGAAACTTCTCAATATGTGAGCAGGAACCAAAAAGGCTGGTTCTTTTTGCTGTTTATCTCCCTTTTTTCCCTAAATGTTTATTGCTTCCACTGTGTTTGTTCACTAAAGATCATTACTTTAACCTTCCCATCGTATCAGCTCCCATTCTAAAGAGATGTTAAAAGTAATACAGCCAAGTATGATTTCTAACGTACGCCTCTTCCTTCCATATCACATTTCTCAGTCATCCGTGAAGGAATGGAAAGAGATTTGCCATGTCCATTCCAGTTCAGAAATATTATAATTTCCATAATTCATCATGTATTTTATACTAAGGATTCTAGAGATGCCATCTCAGCTCCCTGTGTGAGGCTCTTTCCCATAATATGTTCTATTTTAAAAAGCCCTAGGCAAGTTATTTACCATTTGCCATCTGTTCTAATATTCTTTCTTGAAATTTCCCTTTCAAACTTAAAATTGCTTGTATTTTAGTTTTGTGCAAAATTATATCTATATAACACCTCGATCTCTTTCCCTATGGGATCATGTGTAGCAGATGTTAACATATTATAAACTGGAATGCCATTGGTTGTTCCAAAACTAGGATGTTTCTTAATTTAGAACATGACAGCCTGGCGCGGTGGCTCACACCTGTAATCCCAGCACTTTGGGAGGCCGAGGTGGGCGTATCACGATGTCAGGAGTTTGAGACCAGCCTGGCCAACATAGTGAAACCCCATCTCTACTAAAAATACAAAAATTAGCCCGGCATGGTGGCTTGTGCCTGTAGTCCCAGCTACTCGGGAGGCTGATGAGGGAGAATCGCTTGAACCCAGGAGGCAGAGGTTGCAATGAGCCGAGACCGTGCCATTGGACTCCAGCCTGGGTGACAGAGGGAGACTCCGTCTCAAAAAACAAACAAACAAAAAACAATATGACAAATAGAGAATTTATATGCTTCTGTGAAGAACAGAATTCCTATTTTACAGATGTCTAGAGGTATCCTAACCTGCCAGTAATGTTGCTTTAGAATTTAGCAGAATTTGAAAAATCTAAATATGGTAGAAAATTAATTATATATCTCATGTTAAAATTTATAAAATAAATTATTACAGCGTTAACTTACCAATAAGCAGCTTTTAAATTCTAGGCTTTAAAAGTATCCTGCTTACATAATAAACATAATAAAGTTTCAAAGATGAGCAAATTAACTTTTCAGCAAAAGCTTTACTTGAGTGTATCTTGGCTTCTTTTTTGACAGTTGTAACCTTAATGTTACAGTAATGTTTTCTTTTTCTGGGAATCAGATAATCTTCTGTTTGGAAAAATATTTTTGGTGAACATTTTATTTTTTAATGGAAACTTGTATTATGTGATACGCAAGTGTTCAAACAATTTATAAGAGCTAACCATCACCACCCACATATAAGATTATACAGGAATGGAGGAATTTTGGCTGACTTACTGTATATAATTATTGAGCCAACGTAGATGGCAGACTCTACCACTTATGATTTAGGGTTTTGAAACAGTATTTTAAAGTACAAATAATCTCAAAATTGGTAATCTATAAAGCATATTAATTATTGTATTGACGAACTAAAAATAGATTTAACCTTCCTCCATTTATAAGGATGCATCCATTATATAGGTTCTGTACAAAATTGCCAAGCTTACTTTTCTCTTTTTCTTTTTTTACAACAAAATGTATTTAAATTTTTTGATAGGAAAAGCCATTAGCTTTCCGTAAACTGTTGCACAATCACTGGAAATGCTGAGTGAGAGTCTTTCTGAAAACTGTAGAAGGCTAAAGATAATGAAAAGTGTATCTCTTCATTGTCAAGTCCTTTGAGAATCTGATAGGCTCTATCTAGCTGCACCCTGAAGAGACAAGATTAAGTTCCAGGCGCTGGACACAGAGGAACAGGCTCCTAACTGGAGGGCTTTCCACGGACAACAGAGCGCCTGGCAGTCTCTTCGAGATTAAATCTAGGCTGTGTGGGAGGGTGGGCCCCCCAGAGCTTCATTCCACTTTGTGTGGGTCCTGAGAGTAGGGTGTTTGCTTAAATGGCAAGAAAATGGCCCTTTTTCCTGATAATTACTAATATCTGCCATGTAAATTTCTTTATAAATCCCTGAAAGAAAACAACCTATATTAGAAATCAGCTCTTACTTCTGACAAGCAATGGAGCTTTCTCTAGAGCGCTTTACAGGAAATATCTCAGCTGACTTTCTGAACTGGTACTCTCTGAGAGCCAGCCGGCCCTTGACTGATAGCCCTGGATAAGGAAGGCCAGATAAGATTCTTTGAAGACTCTCAGCTAAATTCAGAGCCCCAAATCCTACATACATTTGGCTACTCTGTAGTAGTGGATTGGTGGCCTTATTTTACAGGCTAGTCAGTTAAGGTTTGAGATGCGCTTAGTTGCTCTGCTTGTGTGGAATAGAAAAGGGGGATTGTAACATTAATACAGGGCCGGTCGGGATTTTAGGGTGCAGGTAAGGATAGGTCATAGGGAGAATGAAGATTCTAGCAGGTTGGTTTTTTGTTCTCTCTACAGTGGGAATAATGTAAGAAGCAGATAGTTTGTTGCCCCCAACTCTTTTTCCATGTTCTCTTCTATCAAAATGATCTGTACAAAAAAGTTCTGTTTATAAAAATTTTAGTCTTTCATCTTTGCAGTCTGTTATCATCTTTATGAATTTTTTGACTCTTCCACCTTCCTGGCACCACAAGGCTAGCATTGCTATATTTATTAAAGATTCAGATTTGGAATTTTGTCCTCTTATCACTACTTCCTCTGCCATTTGTTAGCTCTGGTTCTTATTGTATCTTACATTTGAAAACCTTTGAAGCTTATGGGGTATATCAATTCTTTATTTTCTCAACTTTTTATTATCTAAGTACCCTCAATTATCAAGTTGTTTAAAAAATAAATAAAATACATAACAGAAATTGTTCTGTTACGCACTAATAAATTGATCATTTATAAAAGTAGATCCAACCCCAAATCCCTCTCCTTTTAACACAGACCATCTGTTATTATCCACCATCCTTTAGTTTGGCAGGGTCAGTTTATCAATGATTTTTGGATGTTTTAAACCACATGACACAAATGCAGCATAAAGTGAACTTGTTAATCATGCAGAAGTTGGAGGGTTTCTTGAAGTCAGAGAAGGTGATGGTGGAGAACTTGAATTGCATGAACTGTAATTGATTTGTGAGCACCTCGTGGAGTTAGCTAATACAGTAAGAATGATGATGTGACAGATGTATTTAAAAAATGAATTTGCATATTAGGATTGTCAGAGGCCTTTGGGGAAATTAATGAGGTTCTCAAATACTACAAAAAAGGACCATCTTTTCATAAAAGGTGATATGATGTCATATATCATGGCACCATATATTTTTGTTAAAAATTAGCACTGAAAATAATTTTAATTTTAATAATTTGTGCATCTTTCCATTATGATAAAAATTGTTTTAAATTAAAATGACACCCTTACTTAATTTTTAATTTCTTTTTTATGGAAAAAAAGTGAATCTTTTTTTCATAATTTATTCTGAAGTATTGGTACCTGGGTATATCAGTCAGACCTTTTGCAGGAACTGGAAACTATGCTAGGTGCATGAAACAGAAGTGTTTACTATAAAATCAGGTGTTTTATGGGAAGTTTGGAAGGTTTGAAGCATCTGTGTCTAAGGTGACACTTTTCAAAGAAATCAAATACAACTGGATTATCAGGGGAGTTAAAACTTTTGAGGCCACCATTGCAATTTGTAGAGTGGACATTTGAATGTTGTTGTAGAGAAGCTTTGTTTTCAGACCTTAACTGCTAACAGAGCAGTCCAGACACGGGAATATGATCCTTACCTCATTCGACTTTCTAAATCTTTGTGTGGTTGCATCTAATTGGATGAATCTAGCTGCAAGGGAGTCTGCAAATGTAGTTTTTCTTTGTATTTCTGTAAACGGGAAGGGGAGGATGGAGATTGCGAGAGCCAATCCAAGGTAACCAAAAGAAAATTTAAGTGGATTCTACTTAAGAGATCTTTTTCTGGTACTGGGTATCATGTGTAATGATGCAGTTACATTTTTGACTGGCTATGTAAATTAGAAAGGTTAAAAAAAATCCCAGGAATCTTCACAGTCACTAGTATTATGACCTCTGTTACCACTAACTTGGGTGCCATGTGGAACTAGCTGGCCTGTGATGTGGGGCAGAAATCCATGTAGAAAGAGGTGTAATAATTGTTACTATGCTAGGCCATTATTAGGATCATTTTCTTTTTATTACTATTGTTGTTTTTTATATTTTTAGAGGCAGAGTCTCACTCTGTCTCCCAGGCTGGACTCCTGGGCTCAAGTGCTCCTCCAGTCTCAGCCTCTCAAGTAGCTAGGACTACAGGCACACACCACCACACCTGGCTATTTATTTTCCATTTTTGTTGAGATGAAGTCTTGTTATGTTGCCCATGCTGGTCTCGAACTCCTGGCTTCAAGTGATCCTCCCACTTCAGCCTCGGAAAGTGCTGGGATTACAGGCATGACCACTGTGCCTCATCAGAATCACTTTTTCCTCTGTGTGTGTATGTGTTTATATAATAATATCCTTTAATTTTATGCTATTTTCATTATATTCAAATTTATGATGAAACAGAGCTGGCATAGGCAATAACATTTACAAACTGAGTTTTGGAAAACTCCTCCAGAATCTACTTCTTACATGCTATTTATCAACTAACCTTTTTATATAATCATAGTTCATGAAAAAAGAAAACCCTAGTTATGTACCAGCATAACTCAAGAAATACCTTTTAATGATTAAAGGTCACCTTTAAGAGTATGCTGGAAAAACGAAAATGATCTGTGCATTTTACTAATCCAGTCAGAAATACTAATTGTACTCCTTATTAAGATAAATTTGGGTGCTGGTTTTTTGGCTTCTGGTTTCTTCTTGTACTCACTATCATCATACAATTGGAGAATGGAATTATGTATAGTGGCCATACAGGATGTTAAAAATGGTTATGTTCCATTGTGAAAGACAGTGTGGCAATTCCTAGACCTAGGAACAGAAATAGCATTTGACCCAGCAACCCCATTACTGGATATGTACCCAAAGGAGTATACATCATTCTGTTACAAAGATACATTCACACATATGTTCATTGCAGCACTAGTCATAATAGCAAAGACGTGGAGTCAACCCAGTTGCCCATCAATGATAAACTGGATAAGGAAAATGTGGATATATACACCATGGAATACTATGCAGACACAAAAAGGAATGCGATCATGTCCTTTGCAGCGACATGGATGGAGCTGGAAGCCGTTATCCTCAGCAAACTAACACAGGAACAGAAAATCAAACACCACATGTTCTCACTTATAAGTGGAAGCTGAACAGTGAGAACACATAGACACAGGTGGGGAACAAGGCACACTGGGGCCTTTTAGGAGGAGTATGGGGAGGGAGAGCATCAGGATAAGCAGCTAATGCATGCTGGGCATAATACCTAGGTGATGGGTTGATGGGTGCAGCAAACCACCATGGCCCACGTTGACCTATGGAACAAACCTGCATGTCCTGCACATGTATCCCAGGACTTAAAATAAAATTAAATAATAAAAAAAGGTTATTTTTTTTCCCACTATGGGCTACTTAAAAACTACATGGCAATATAGTTTTTCCCCACAAAATACATAACACAAAATACACAAAATACAAACTGTGCATTACAAATACTTTAGTCTTTTGTGTAGATGTTGGTGAAAAATAATGAGCTTTTAAGGGGAGAGTGTGTATGTGTGTGTATATATGCCTGAATAACATATAAATTCTCAAAAATCTTGCCTATGAAAGTGTGTTACATTCCTTTATTAGTTGAAAAGTCAATTATTTTTCAGTTTCCTTTCATAGTAAGGGCTACTTCTTTTTTTTTTAACAATAGAAAATTAAGGAAATCAACCCTTTGTAGGGGTTGTGTTTCTAAATTACTGGTTGTCTTCAGCTGTCAGCAAACATCATGATTGACCTTCAGCAAGTTAAATGTTGTAGCAAAAGATATAGTTTCCAGGGAAGAAGTAACAGAGGTTAGGATTAAGACTACTAAATTTAGCAGGGTGCAGTGGTGTGTGCCTATAGTCCTAGCTACTTGGGTTGCTGAGCTGGGAGGGTGGCTTAAGCCCAGGAGTTCGAGGCCAGCCTGGGCAATGTAGCAAGACTCTGTTGTGGAAAAAAGGAAGGACTATTAAGTTTACATTTCTAGACCATGTGCGGTGGCTCACGCCTGTAATCCCAGCACTTTGGGAGGCCGAGGTGCGTGGATCACCTGAGGTCAGGAGTTTGAGGCCAGCCTGGCCAACGTGCTGAAACCCTGTCTTTACTAAAAATACAAAAATTAGCCGGGCGTGGTGGCACATGCCTGTAGCCCCAGCTACGCAGGAGGCTGAGGCAGTAGAATTGCATGAACCCGCGAGGCAGAGGTTGCAGTGAGCTCAGATCACGCTATTGCACTCCAGCCTGGGCGACAAGAGCGAAACTCCGTCGCAAAAAAAAAAGTTTACATTTCCTTCATAGAGATGGGGGGAAAAAGGTGCCCTAAAGATTTTTATCACATCTATCATAGCACCCAAAAATGCCTCATTTGTAGTAAATACCCTTTCTGTCTTGTCCATCTGCATTTTTTCCACTGCAAATGGGTTGGATGTCTGTTCAGATTTAATAAAGAAGATGTTTGCTTTTCACTTTGTGGAGATATTTCTTGGATCCAGAGTTTAACCTTAGCAAGCAGGGTAAGAGTTTAGTTTTATACTTAATATTATCTTTATATTACCTGTTAATTATTCTTCCACAATATGTAAAAATCAAGTCTGGAGTATAAGTGTCAGCCTCCCAGGTGGGTAAGAAGCGTGTGCATGTGGACCTATGGCTGTTTACCGTGGCCTATGGGGATCATCTGGAACACTCTGGAACACTCTGTAGTGTTGCAGGAAACCCTGGAACACTGAAGAAATAGTTCTCAACACAAGAAGTCTCTCATCCTCTCTTTCCCTTTTATTCCAGCCTTTAGTGAGCAAATCCACATCTGTATGAGCAGTAATTAAAGTACGATTGACACTGCAGTTTCCACAAAAGTGGGAGTTGTCTTCCTATGTTTGTTTGTCTTCCTTTCTCTCTATCAATTCCTTCTTCCTCTCTTTTCATCTGTTATTCATATTAAATAATTTACCCTTAAGAAGGCAATGCTCTTTCCTTTTTTTTTTTTTTTTTTTTTTTGAGACGGAGTCTCGCTCTGTCACCCAGGCTGGAGTGCAGTGGCGCAATCTCAGCTCACTGCAAGCTCCGCCTCCCAGGTTCATGCCATTCTCCTGCCTCAGCCTCCTGAGTAGCTGGGACTACAGGCACCCGCCACCACGCCCGGCTAATTTTTTGTATTTTTAGTAGAGACGGGGTTTCACTGTGTTAGCCAGGATTGCCTCGATCTCCTGACCTCGTGATCCACCCGCCTCGGCCTCCCAAAGTGCTGGGATTACAGGCATGAGCCACCACGCCCGGCCAATGCCCTTCTTTCTACTCAAAACGTTTTTTTTTTCTTGAAGGGTTCCTGGTTGATTGTGAGTTTTAGGAAAGGAAGACACCACTTATATGTCAGAGTGCCCCATATGTTGGCCAGTTGTTATCAGCCATCTTTTTTTTTTTTTTTTTTTTTTGAGACAGTGTCTCACTCTGTTTCCCAGGCGGGAGTGCAGTGCAGTGGCCTGTGATCATAGATTGCTGCAACCTCAAACTCCAGGGCTCAAGCTGTCCTTCCGCCTCAGCCTCCCAAGTAGCTGGGACTACAGGCGTGTGCCACCGTGCTCAGCTAATTTTTTTAATTTTTAGGAGAGATGCAGTCTTGCTATGTTGCTCAGGCTGGTCTTGAACTCCTGATCTCAAGTGATCCTCCCACCTCAGCCTCCCAAAGTGCTGGGATTACAGGTGTGAACCACCATGTCTGGCCATCAGCCGTCTTTATAAATTGTGGAGAACTGTCAGTTATCACTTTCTGAAATACCCTAGGTAAAATATTAAAGTTCTAGTAAACATGATATAAGCGGTATGGCACATGCTCATAATGCATTTGTCTTGCCCATATGGATATCAAAAATATTTTATATATTATTATTGAACACTCATTCAGTGATCACTTTTAAAAAGCAGTGACTACCTTTAAAATTCGGGATTACCTTTAAAATGTTTTCAGGGAACATCCTAAAAACCAGTGTTCCTAGGCTGGAAAGAAGGCTATCTTAGAAATAAACTGGTTTATCACTCAGAGCTTTCTTCCCTGTTCTCAGTGGTCTATTTGTCCTCAATGGTATCATTTGAAAATGAGACAGATGTGGACTTAAGATTCTGTGGTAAGTCACGTGTGTTAACCACTTTGAAATCTCAGGGTGCAAGCCAGGGGACACATAGAAATATTAATACCATCTTTCTGTCAAGGAGTCCTTCTGGAAGTATGACAACAAACAGATATAATTTTGCTTAATTTTTTGCTATTTGCATTTTTCCTTATTTCATAACTAACTGTGTCTGTCCTTGTCGCCCTTCAGGAAGTTGTTGACATGAAGTCTGAGGGACAGGCCACTGTAATTCAGCAGCTGGAACAGACTATTGAGGATCTGAGAACCAAAATAGCTGAACTAGAGAGGCAGTATCCTGCCCTGGACACAGAGGTGGCCAGTGGTCATCAAGGGCTTGAGAATGGAGTGACAGCCTCAGGCGATGTCTGTCTCGAAGCTCTCAGGTTAGAAGAAAAGGAAGTACGGCATCATAGGATTTTAGAGGCGAAATCGATACAGACTTCCCCCACGGAAGAGGGCGGGGTGCTGACACTGCCTCCTGTGGATGGGCTGCCAGGGCGTCCTCCATGCCCCCCTGGGGCTGAAAGTGGACCTCAGACAAAGTTCTGTTCAGAGATTTCTTTGATTGTGTCTCCAAGGCGAATATCAGTCCAGCTCGACAGCCATCAGCCCACACAGAGCATCTCACAGCCTCCACCACCTCCATCCCTTCTGTGGTCTGCTGGGCAAGGACAGCCTGGGTCACAGCCGCCCCATTCTATTTCTACCGAGTTTCAAACCAGCCACGAACACTCTGTTTCCTCTGCCTTTAAAAACAGCTGTAACATCCCATCTCCACCACCTCTGCCTTGCACAGAGTCCTCCAGCTCCATGCCTGGCCTGGGCATGGTGCCTCCCCCACCTCCCCCTCTCCCTGGCATGACAGTGCCTACTCTGCCCAGTACAGCCATTCCCCAACCTCCTCCTCTGCAGGGTACAGAAATGCTGCCACCCCCTCCCCCTCCTCTTCCCGGAGCGGGCATACCTCCTCCGCCGCCTCTACCCGGAGCAGGCATACTCCCTCTGCCCCCTCTACCCGGAGCGGGAATACCTCCTCCGCCCCCTCTACCCGGAGCGGCAATACCCCCTCCGCCCCCTCTTCCCGGGGCAGGCATACCCCTTCCTCCCCCTCTTCCCGGAGCAGGAATACCTCCTCCACCCCCTCTACCCGGAGCGGGCATACCCCCTCCTCCCCCACTTCCCGGAGCGGGCATACCCCCTCCGCCCCCACTTCCCGGAGCGGGCATACCCCCTCCTCCCCCTCTTCCCGGAGCGGGCATACCTCCTCCACCCCCTCTACCCGGAGCGGGCATACCCCCTCCGCCCCCACTTCCCGGAGCGGGCATACCCCCTCCGCCCCCACTTCCCGGAGCGGGCATACCCCCTCCTCCCCCTCTTCCCGGAGCGGGCATACCTCCTCCACCCCCTCTACCCGGAGCGGGCATACCCCCTCCGCCCCCACTTCCCGGAGCGGGCATACCCCCACCTCCCCCTCTACCCGGAGCGGGCATACCCCCTCCGCCCCCTCTACCCGGAGTGGGCATACCTCCTCCGCCCCCTCTACCCGGAGCGGGCATACCCCCTCCTCCCCCTCTACCCGGAGCGGGCATACCCCCTCCTCCCCCTCTTCCCGGAGCGGGCATACCTCCTCCACCCCCTCTACCCAGAGTGGGCATACCCCCTCCGCCCCCACTTCCCGGAGCGGGCATACCCCCACCTCCCCCTCTACCCGGAGCGGGCATACCCCCTCCGCCCCCTCTACCTGGAGTGGGAATACCTCCTCCGCCCCCTCTACCTGGAGTGGGAATACCTCCTCCGCCCCCTCTACCTGGTGCTGGGATTCCCCCACCTCCTCCCTTGCCAGGTATGGGGATTCCACCTGCTCCAGCTCCCCCACTCCCTCCACCTGGGACAGGAATCCCACCGCCCCCTCTGCTTCCTGTATCAGGCCCTCCACTCCTCCCACAAGTTGGGAGTAGCACTTTACCAACCCCACAGGTGTGTGGATTTCTTCCTCCTCCATTGCCAAGTGGCTTGTTTGGATTAGGGATGAATCAGGACAAAGGGAGTAGGAAGCAGCCCATAGAGCCTTGTCGACCAATGAAGCCTCTTTACTGGACCAGGATTCAACTACATAGTAAAAGGTAACATGAAAGTGAGCTCGTCTTTGCACAGTGTGTGTCAGTATTAGGGAAGTGTTTACCTTCAAACTCGGGAAAATTACTGTTGAATGTATTTTTAAGCACAACTCTAAAACTCGTCTAGATTTTTACATCAATATATAGTGCAGCAGTTTGCTATTTAAAGCTTTAAGCTTTTCTCCAGAAGTACCAAAGATGTAAAATAAATACATATACGTATCAATGTATAAGATGTAGGTATACCCATCTATGTAGTTATTGATATATCTCTTAAAGATTGAGGGATATATTTTTCTTAAAATACATGCTCTGTTATCTAGTTGTAAGACTGCTACTTATTTATGCCTAAATTCCAGTGAAAGTATGCTTATATGCCCTTTGGAAAATGAATGAGGGCAGGTAAGCAGAGACATTTGTAGCGAAATTATTTTCCATGTAAGAATCTACTCTTTGCTTTTACTACTTCAAGTTTCCATTTCTGACAAACAGCTTAAAAATGTAAATCAAATTCTTAAATCCTTTTTTTTTTTTTTGGAGGGGGGACGGAGTCTCGCTCTGTCACCCAGGCTGGAGTGCAGCGGTGCAGCCTCGGCCCACTGCAAGCTCCGCCTCCCGGGTTCACCCCATTCTCCTGCCTCAGCCTCCCGAGTAGCTGGGACTACAGGCGCCCGCCACCACGCCCGGTTAATTTTTTTTTGTATTTTCAGTAGAGACGGGGTTTCACCGTGTTAGCCAGGATGGTTTCCCATCTCCTGACCTCGTGATCCGCCCGCCTCGGCTTCCCAAAATGCTGGGATGACAGGCGTGAGCCACCGGGCACGGCCGCAAATCAAATTCTTAGGTAAACTGACTCTGGAGCATGATTTAGTGCACACTTTAAAATGCACAGCCCTGTCCGGGTGCGGTGGCTCACGCCTGTCATCCCAGCACTTTGGGAGGCCGAGGCGGGTGGATCACAAGGTCAGGAGATTGAGACCATCCTGGCTAACACGGTGAAACCTCGTCTCTACTAAAAATACAAAAAATTAGCCGGGCGAGGTGGCGGGCGCCGGTAGTTCCAGCTACTCGGGAGGCTGAGGCAGGAGAATGGCATGAACCCGGGAGGCGGAGCTTGCAGTGAGCCGAGATCGCGCCACTGCACTCCAGCCTGGGCGACAGAGCGAGAGTCCGTCTCAAAAATAAGTAAGTAAGTAAATAAATAAATAAATAAAATGCACAGCCCTGGTTTACAGTCCCATCTTGTGGGCTTTCTTCAGAAACATGCTTCACAAAAATACACATATCCATACCCCAAGTGTGAAATAATTTAGTTTTGAAAATTTCATGGCACTTCTGTCCCTCATTGGCAACACAGCACAAAGTCATACAATCATAGCTGGGACTGATCATCATAAAAGAATACTTTCCACCAGGTATTCTGGTGGTACTTTATACATTTATGTGTCATCTATAGCCCGTGTTGCCTAGTCATTGAGACAATGCTGTGATACTTGGCTGTGGAATGTGTAGGTGGCAGGGAAAAACGCACACTGTAAACCTCACTGGGGCTTCCTTGTTCTAATGTTTCATGATTCCTTGAATTTCCTTTGTGTGAATTTCCTTTGTGTGATGTGGCATGCATTTAGAAACAGGGTATTTGCCAGGTTCGTTTTCATTTCTTATATGGATTTTTCTACTCACTACACCATATCGGGGGCAAGAATCTGTATATTCTGATGACTTTTAATTTTTCAGTTCATCTTCTGTGTTGTTACCACGCCACTTATGTATGTGGGTGATTCATTTTAAACTGTGCCCCAAAGTCATTTTCTCTAGATATGACAGGGGAAGTTCTTGTGTTTTGTTGTTGGTTTGCTTTTTAAAAAGATGTGTTTACCCTTTTTAGGTGGTACTACACGAATCTGCAGTCACTGAGAAGACAAATAACAATGGGGTGATGGGAGGCAGTAGGAGGGAGAGGATGCCATCCTGTAAATATGTATTTTTTAACCCATGAATAATCTGCAAAGTTGTTAAGTCAAGTTGGGATTTTGAGAGATCAGACATTTCTTGCCTCCCTAGCCCACACTGAGATAAGTTTTCTTTTTACATTTTTATACAGTGGCCTGATGACTGAGGCTTCCTGGAAATTATTTCTGGGGAAAAATTTCATTCATGGATGGTATTTCAACTTTCCCATTAAGTTGATCAAACAAATGGTGGTCTTAAAGAAAAAGAATATTTTTTCCTTCTTATCTCTCTTCTTTTTCCCTCCTTCCCTCCTGCTGGCCTTCCTCCCTCCCCTTCTTCCTTTCTATTTATGCTTGCTGTGATGTAAGTTCAGTTTGATGGCTGTTTTATTGTTCTTTTGCTTAATTTTAGAGACTCCAGTACTTCACTTATTTGGGAAAAAATTGAAGAGCCATCCATAGATTGTCATGAATTTGAGGAATTATTTTCTAAAACTGCTGTAAAGGAGAGAAAGAAACCTATCTCTGATACTATCTCAAAGACGAAGGCTAAACAAGTGAGTATTTTTGTGCTTTATGAAATTGGACAGTGTTTCTGGCATAAGTGTGAACTGTCATTAGAGAAAACTTTGAAATAGTTTTTGGGCTGTGTAAACCTCCATGGATCTTAGGCAGACAGCAAGGGTTAGAACTTTAGAACATGTGGTTAAGTAAGACTAGCCCAAATAGAACAACACATAATTATCTCCATCCAGTGATAATGTCCCAACTTTTATTTGTAACATCATAATACATATTTCCAAAATATCCGCCATTGTTTCTTTCCAGAATTAGTTGCCTAGAAATAAATTTTCATTTGATTTATGTCCATCTGAGTGCTCCTATGGATGGAAAGAAAGGAAAGAGTGGGCAAAGGAAAACAATCAAGAAATCCAATCCTTAGTAACTGATAATGTGTTTGGTATTTTGTTGCATTATATCTGAAGTGGATGCCATTAGAATCCAGTTAAACAGTCACACTGTACTTGAAATGTGGAAGAGAAATCTTGTATCCATTTCTAACCTCTCTATTTTATGTTAGATCCTTTGATCTAACCTGTGACATTTTTGAGTCATAAAAAGAAAGATTGGTGCATTTCAAGAAAAACATTTCCAAGCAATTTTTTTCTACTGATATATCCATTGGACTTGTCATAAAGGGATATTGTTATAAATTTCTCAGGGGTGTCATTTGGAAAGTAGAGTAAAACCTCATGATAATGAACTCCAGATAGAAAGAATTGCTAATGGTGCCCGTCTTTACCCTGAAATGGAGAGTGGCTACATTTCTTAACTTTTGCAGGGTGGCAGGAAAGAGGTCTTGGAAGCAAAGGAATGGCAAGCAGCTCAGTCTTGGGAAGCAAAGAGGGAAAAATGAGGCTGATATCCCCAGTGTTCTCCTTGCCCAGTAGCCCCATAGGAGTTCCAGCTAATGGGGTGATTCCTCGAATTTGTGCCTCTGACCTGGAAGTAATAGCTAGGCACATGACCTGGAGTTGTTTCCATTGATATTTATTTCAGAGCAGACAATTTTCATTAGATGGACATTGCCAAATCCAGCCAGGAGAAGATGGATTTCAATGGGACAGCTAGACCCCTGTGACCCGTAGTTGGCTGGGTGAGCAGGCTCACCCCAGGCATTTTATTAATCTGAGAATAATGTAAACCCAAACATTATGCAGTTGAATTCTTTTAGAAATGCTTGTTGCATTATCACTGGTTGCTGGTGACCTCAGGTCAGTAACATAGTAAATGAGATGGCACCTGGCACATTGTAGGCACTCAATAAATATTTATTAAATTAATCAGCTGACTAAGGGATGAAGACTTTATAAATATCAGTGGCTATGTCCAGTAGTGATTAAAAACCAGAAGGTTACTCATTTCATAATAATCAGTAAGTCCAGGGTGACAATGTTAAAAGGAGTAATGGAAAATCATATTTTCTCTGGCAGAGATAAATATTTAAAAAATCCTTGGTATATTTGCATATAGTACACTGAGGCTGAATCATCGTATCTCCTCTTTTGGGTTGTGTCAGAGATGTAAAATCTGTCTGGGCGAGGAATATGGGTGGGGCTTACATTGAGAAGAGTCAGGCAGCCGGAACTGTCACATGACAAACGTGTAGATGTGGCATGGAGCCTCTCTCGTCCAGGGACCAAATACTCAGAAAATTGAGCCATGCTCTCCTTACTTCCAGCACCCCTTTTGTTTTTTTGTGTTTTTTTGTTTGTTTGTTTTTGTTTGTTTGTTTTTTTGGCTAAGGGAATACAGATAAGGAAGAAGTCTCCCAGGTTGCCCAAGACTGTAGGATTTCATTCTCTGTTTGACATAGTATTAAGTTTTAGCTTACTGAAATATGATTTACATGTAAATCATCAAACTTCACATTAAACTAGTTGGCATGAAGGGGTCTCAGCATATAAACAGTGCCTCTGTGTTGAGCATCATCATCTTAAGATAATCTCCTCATTCTGTCATTAAGGCATTTCATAAATTGTCGGTAAGAGACTTTGCCAATATCCTCATTTGTGTTTATTGATAGTGACGCTACTGTTGACCTTCAGCTTCAAACAGGGTTTATGGGACAGTCTCCATCATGACTCCAGATAAACCTATTCAGCAACTCCTTGGCCTGGGTCTTGGTGCTGAGCTCTGCACTTCAGATCTGTTTTTGGAGGGACAAAAGATTTTTTTAAATGTATGTTAGAGAAAAATCACTACAAAGTGATGGATTGCTGAAGAAACATAGTTTTATTTAACTTCATTGTATTTGGAAGAAAAATCTGTCCATTCCATTTACTTGAGACATTTAAAATTTTGTTTAAGGAAAGTGTATTTTCAGGATGCATGCAAATTGTTCCCCTTTTTATGGGAAATGTGCACTGATTGTATGTGCAGACATTTTGGTACCTTATGATTCATTTCCAGTAAAATTAATAGCCTTTAATGCCGTGGCATATGTTTATGGAGGTATTTCAAGCAATTCTTCTTATATACAATGGAAGCTGGAAGTTCTGTTTTTGTTTAAATATTTAAAAATAGCCAAATAATTTTTCTGTGATCTCTGTTCTCCTTGAAAGTAAGACTGTGGTTGAATGCACTGGTGTTTAACGAGGTGCCTGTGCTGTTTTTACCGTCATGGCAGAGACGTTTTCAGTGTGATAATAGAAGATTCCTCAGCTGGGCACATTGCCGTTTGGCATAAGGAGAAAGAGGGTTATTTTCTCTGGATGCTCAGACTGATAGAAATGAAGAATATCTTGTATTTCCAAATCCTTTTTTCTCCAAAGAGCTTAAGACAAAGCATTTTATACTTTTCTCATGGAGCATGGATTTAAGTTTGTTCTATGATGATTTCTTCATTTCTCCTTCTTTACTTTGAAGCATTACACAAAAGATTAGCTGAGAAGGTACATAGAAGTTTATCAGAATATAGTTTGACATAGTTTTTCATAACCAAATGAGTGTGACACTTTGACATTAGAATTGTCTGATGTAGAACCCCGTCTCTTAAGGAATAAAGAGGAAAATAGAAAAAGTGATCTTGGCCGGGTGTGGTGGCTCACGCCTGTAATCCCAGCACTTTCAGAGGCCGAGGCGGGCGGATCACGAGGTCAGGAGATGGAGACCATCCTGGCTAACATGTAGAAACCCCGTCTCTACTAAAAATACAAAAAATTAGCCGGGCGTGGCAGCAGGTGCCCGTAGTCTCAGCTACTCGGGAGGCTGAGGCAGGAGAATGGCGTGAACCCGGGAAGCAGAGGTTGCAGTGAGCCGAGATCGCACCACTGCACTCCAGCCTGGGCAATAGAGTGAGACTCCATCTCAAAAAAAAAAAAAAAAGAAAAAGAAAAAGAAAAAGTGATCTCTTATGATGTTCATGCTTTAGCATTCACACACATTCACACTTGCCCAATTTTAAGGAAGGCTTTAGAGCCAGTAAGTGTTTAGTCCAATCTCCTCCCTAATTCCAGGGTAGTTCAGTGATTTTTAATGTTTGTAATGACCCTAAGTCACCTCAGGATCTTTGGTGATCAAATAAGGATTAAAAAGTTTAACCCACTGGGTATGGTGGCTCACACCTGTAATCCTAGCACTTTGGGAGGCCAAGGCAGGTGGATGGCTTGAGCCCAGGATTTCGAGACCAGCCTGGGGAACATGGGGAAATTCTGAATCTATAAAAAATATAAAAATTAGCTGGGTGCAGTGGTGCATGTCTGTCATCCCAGCTACTTGGGAAGCTGAGATGGGAAGATCATCTGAGCCCAGGGAGGTTGAGGCTGCAGTGAGTTGTGAGAGTACCACTGCACTCCAGCCAGGGTGACAGATTAAGACCCTCTCTCAGGGAAAAAAAAATTCATCCGCACTCATTAGCAGGAAAGTGAGAGAATTTACTTGGGAGTGATTTTGATAATAAGGGTTGCATAGTTTTTGGTTAATCTTCTATCAAATAATGTCATAAGGAAATATATTTTGGTAAGTGCAGTAGTAGTAGTAATAGTAGTAATTATTACAGCAATAATAACCATGGAAACCACAAGTCATATTGTGTCCATTATTTACCATGTACCAGTTACTGTTCTTAGCACTTATATCAGCTCATATAATGCTCCTACCCCTGTGAGACAGGCACCGTTAGCCTCAGTTCATAGTACAGAAACCTCAGGTACAGAGATATAGCGGAATTCAATGTTTCCAAGCTGGTAAGGGGCTGAGCTCGGGTTCAGACTCCAGCCTTCTGGCTTCAAAGCCTCTGCTCTTCCTAATTAAGTGATAATTATGGATGTGGAATATTTTATATGAGTGTAAGTACAGTATTTTATATGGAGACCAGAATATATACTTTTAAAAATGAATTAAATACTTTAAAAAAAGAATTTGAATGTGTATTGGTTTTTCATATATGTTTGGTATTTAAATGACTGTGGTTATAAATAAAATTGTATGTGAGACACTTTTAAAACCTTTACCATGTTTTAGCAGATTTCTTTCTTTCTTTTTTTTAAATGGAGTCTCACTCTGTTGCCCAAGTTGGTGTGCAGTGGCATGATCTTGGCTCACTGCAACCTCCCCCTCCCGGGTTCAAGCGATTCTCCTGCCTCAGCCTCCCAAGTAGCTGGGATTACAGGTGCGGGCCACCGTGACCAGCTAATTTTTGTATTTTTAGTAGAGACGTGGTTTCGCCATGTTGATCAGGCTGGTCTCAAACTCCTGACCTCAGGTGATCCGTCTACCTTGGCCTCCCAAAGTGCTGGGATTACAGGCATGAACCACTGCGCCTGGCCAATATTTTAGCAGATTTTGACAAGTATATAAACTGTGGTTTCACCAACATGACATTTGCACAGTTAAATAAAAGTTTGAGTGGTATGAGATTTAAATACATAAGCTTCCGTAAGCAGTAAAAGTAAGAGCCACTTGCTTGTGTGGCATATAAATAGTGGTTAGAGGCAGACAGCCATTGTGGTTAAACCTTGCCAAATGTGAAATGATGCTACATTTCATTTATCCCATGGTAAAAAAAAGAATCATCTTTGTAAAATAAGCCATAGGTAAATAATGTCTAATCATGTTTAAAGGATCTGTAAAGGAACATGATACCCAGAATGTAAATTTGCACATAGAAGTCAGCAAGAGTGTAAAAGAAGAATCTGATATTTTTTAAAAAGTACATAACTTGACATTGGTCTAACCATTTAATGCAACACAATGAATCTCTTTGTGGGTTTCTTCTATGTAATCTATCAGATTAAAATTCTTTGCCCAGAGAATGGGAGAAAAAGTATGACAGTTAAATATTTGTTGGACTTTAGCCTCTGGAAATCTGATCAGAAAAAAAATACATAGTTAAATGTGCTACTTATTATAAGGGCAGGTAATAAAAGGATTTGTTAGAATTCACATTTATTACAGATACTAACTTTAAGGATTAGATATTTGGTATCATGTTTAGTCTTTCCGCTGTGCTTGATGACCTAATCCCTAAAAAAGACTTTTTAAAAATGTTCGAGGTCAGGAGTTTGAGACCAGCCTGACAACATGGTGAAACCCTGTCTCTACTAAAAATACAAAAAAATTAGCCGGGAGTAGTGGTGGATGCCTGTAATCCCAGCTACTCAGGAGGCTGAGGCAGGAGAATTGCTTGAACCCGGGAGGCGGAGGTTGCAGTGAGCCGAGATCGCGCCACTACACTCCAGCCTGGGCAACAGAGCGAGACTCCGTCTCAAAAAAAAAAAAAGTTATAAAAATGTGTAATAACGACAGGAAAAGAAGTATTCATCATTCAGCTGCTCTTATATGGGAGTACATAACGTAATACCTGTAAGTGTTCTTACGGGAAGCAGTAATTGCCAATAAAAGGCTGCTTCTTACTATGTTGAGGAATCTGGGAGAACAAGAGTGGCACACTTCAGGTATTGCCTGCCACTGTATTATTGGCTGCTATGAAAAGGAAAAAGAGATTACATATTTTATCTTTGATCTTTGCTGCAGTTTTATTTATTGCAGATATTCATTTTTAGATTGAAAACTATGTTTTATTGTAATTAGTAGATATTTCAGTGCTTGCAGAGTGACAGACTGAATGATAATTTGTGTTATAGAAGACATGTTTTGTATTGGTGTTAATTGTTCCAGTTGTAGTTGGCAAGGGTGTGTTTTGGTTGATTTGGACAGTTATATTTGTCTTTTGACCAAAGACATAAAATAATGTCTGAAACACTAAATATCTTATAATAAAACAATTTAAATTTGTTTTGGGGATACATAATAAACATTTGGTACTTTGTAACTTTTAACATCTGCTTTTAATAGAATACATTCCTATTGCAAGCCTTAAAAATGTATTTACATAGAAAACCACATCAAAATTCAAAACTATAATTAGACAAGCATAGGTTTTGTGGAATCTGGATTTGTTTAAGATGTTGAAAGATTTATTTTTTTTTTGAAGATGCTATTCCTATAACTATTTGTAGAGCATACCCAATCAATTCAAGGAATGCAATAATATTAACCTCTGCTTTTAAATTTTCTTTTAGCCAGTAAGATTGTTTTTATACTTCTAAGTAAATGGCTAAAAATAAAAAAAAAAACACGAATACACCAGCATAATATAAAGGAAATGTAATGAAGCTAATTATCCTTCACCTTGCTAGATTATATATTAGGGAAATTATATTTAGGTAATCGTGCTTTGGAATTGCATACAATTTAATCATAGTGTAGATAGTTAATTCTTTTGGATTTTATATTTATATACCACGGTATTAAGATTCTGGGCTGGGCGCAGTGGCTCACGCCTGTAATCCCAGCACTTTGGGAGGCCTAGGTGGGCGGATCACAAGGTCAAGAGATCGAGACCATCCTGGCCAACATGGTGAAACCCCATCTCTACTAAAAATACAAAAATTAGCTGGGCGTGATGGCATGCGCCTGTAGTCCCAGATACTCAGGAGGCTGATGCAGGAGGATTGCTTGAACCCAGGAGGTGGATGTTGCAGTGAGTCAAGATTGCACCATTGCACTCCAGCCTGGCGACAGAGCGAGACTCTGTCTCAAAAAAAAAAAAAAAAAAAAAAAAAAGATTCTGTTGGACTAAATGTACAAGAAAGGGGTATTAATTTTTAATGGCTAGAATGTTCTGTGTATAATTCATAGGAATTGAAGAAAGATTATAGAATAGAGTATAAGTGCTCTTTGGAATGCCAGACGCAGTGGCATGTACCTGTAGACCCACCTACAAGGTGGGCTGTTGTGGGCTGTAGTGTGCTGTGATTTTGCCTGTGATACCCACTGCCCTCCAGCCTAGGCAACATAGTGAGACCCCATCTCATCTCTAAAAAAAAAAAAATTTTATTTCTATCTGGAGCAGATGATGGGAGAGTGTTTTCTCAGCACAGCCAATTTAGAGTGGAGCCACTATTGCGGAGAGCCCTCTTTAGTTTCACTGGAAAAACTAAACAGTGAACACTTTCACTGTTGCCCCCTTTTTTGATCCGATGACAGCACAGTTGATCCATTTCAGCAGGGACTGCAGCAGAGGAAATGAGCTAAAATACCAGAAAGGGCACAGAGGTTCTCTGGAGGGCTAATTTATTGTGGAACAACCCAAGAGAGACAGTTTTGAGTAATTCAAGTGACTATACTTGAATTATCCTTCAGGTTCCATGCTATATACTAAAGATAGTGCAAACTGTGGGTGGTCAGAAGTAGAACAGAGTATATAGGCTGGACTTGGGATAAAGGCTGTGTGGAGGAGATATGATTTGAAATGGGCCTTGAAGAATTTATTTGGTTTAAATATGTAGAGAGGATTAAGGGATGATTTTTGAGAATAGCACCACAAGCAAAGGTTTCCGTGCAGCTCATTTAGCAGACCTGGCTTGCGTGCTTCTGTCTGGGAGTTTTAGGAATGTGAATGTAGATCATTTATATTCATTTCTCTTAGCTGAATGTGTTTCCTTCTCATCCTTCTACCCAGCCTCGGGTTTGTCATACTAGAAATAAGTGTGAGGACTGAATTTAGATTAATTGGACCTGAAGCTTATTTTGGTGTCACGGTATGAAACAGCAGGATGTATCCTTCTTTACCATGGACAGCAACAGGATTTGGGATGATCTCAGGGCAAAGGAGGATTTTATTCGTCATTTGACCTACATAGTCACAATTATGATAGGTCCTACCTTTTGTCTACCAGAAGGGATGCTGGTGATGACACTAGTCAGATTATTCACAACCAAACTTCGTGTGACCTAAACCGAAAAAGAGTTCCTGTTATTTGAGGGCATAAGTTTAAGATTTAGAAAAAAAATAATAAAGTTCTTATTTGTGTCTTTAGTTTCTTTAATTTAAAACTTTTTATAAATGGAAAATAAACTGTTTCTTTTTTAAAGCCATAACCATTTGCAAAATGGAGGTTTTAAAATTTTTTGTATTTATTTTTTTTTGAGACGGGGTCTCACTCTGTCTCCCAGGCTGGAGTACTGTGGTATGATCATGGCTCACTGCAGCCTCGACTTCCCTGGCTCGAGCAATCCTCTCACCTCAGCCTCCCACGTAGCTGGGACTCTAGGTGTGGGCCACCGAGCCTGGCTAACTTTTTAATTTTTATTTTGTAGGGACGGGGAGTCGCCATGTTGCCCATGCTGGTCTTGTACTCCTGGGCTCAGGCAATCTTCCTGCCTCCGCTTCCCAAAGTGCTGGGATTAGAAGCGTGAGCCACCATGCCCAGACAACGAAATGGAAGATGTTTAGTATTTCACCTTTAGTTTTTGTTAATTTATGAATCTTTAAAATTACTTTGGGACCTGAAACTGTCTGAAGTATTACTTTAGCAAGCTGTCTGGAGGAGAGTCTTCTCGAGATAGTGAGGAACTTGGTGAATCCTCTCCCCAGTAAAACAACAACTTAACTGGTGAGAATTATAACAAAAAATTGTGTAAAATCTCTGAAAATTGTCCTAAGGGCACACAGGAAACGGAGAAACAGTCATTCAAGAAAATCTCCTAAAACTCATAACAGCAAGAGTCTCTGACAGTTGAGCCACAACCCACTCTGTTACCAGCCACCCCCAGCTCTGCTCTACTCTAGACATGTGTGGCCAAGAAGACCATAGTTCTCTGTCTTTCTCTACAACTATGTCTATGGCTATGATTTTGGTCTGGGAGAGGCAGGATGCTGGCATTTCTAATTTCTTCAGTCTCCTGTTAGAGAAGCTTTATAACAGGCAAGCATGGAGAACCACGGGAGACCTTTGAGAAGGGCCCTTTAAGGATCACCATCATCGATGGAAGTAGGGAGGGTGTGAATACACACCTGCCAGGCTGCAGCCATCCAAGCAAGAGCAATCAGAGCAAGATGTGGTGTCCCCAGGAAAGCATTCGCTAACCTCATACAGACCCACCAAAACCAAGCGGAAGCTTCACTGGCATGAGTCTGTGTTTGTGTGTGTGTGTGTGTGTGTGTGTGTGTTATTAATCCCATTTTATTTATTTATTTTCTTTTATTATACTTTAAGTTCTGGGATACATGTGCAGAACATGCAGGTTTGTTACATAGGTATACACGTGCCATGGTGGTTTGCTGCACCCATCAACCCGTCATCTACATGAGGTATTTCTCCTAATGCTATCCCTCCTCCAGCCCCCCCACCCCACGACAGGCCCCGGTGTGTGATGTTCTGCTCCATGTGTCCATGTGTTCTCATTGTTCAACTCTCACTTATGAGTGAGAACATGCAGTATTTGGTTTTCTGTTTGTGTGTTAGTTTGCTGAGAATGATGGTTTCCAGCTTCATCCATGTCTCTGCAAAGGACACGAACTCATCCTTTTTTATGGCTGCATTGTATTCCATGGTGTATATGTGCCACATTTTCTTTATCCAGCCTATCATTGATGGGCATTTTGGGTGGTTCCAAGTCTTTGCTATTGTGAATAGTGCTGCAATAAACATATGTGTGCATGCGTCTTTATAGTAGAATGATTTATAATCCTTTGAGTATATACCCAGTAATGGGATTGCTGGGTCAAATGGTATTTCTGGTTCTAGATCCTTGAGGAATCACCACACTGTCTTCCACAATGGTTGAACTAATTTACACTCCCACCAACAGTGTAAAAGTGTTCCTATTTCTCCACATCCTCTCCAGCATCTGTTATTTCCCAACTTTTTAATGATCGCCATTCTGACTGGCATGAGATGGTATCTCATTGTGTTTTTGATTTGCATTTCTCTAATGACCAGTGATGATGAGCTTTTTTTCATATGTTTATTGGCCACATAAATGTCTTCTTTTGAGAAGTGTCTGTTCATATCCTTTGCCCACTTTTTGATGGGATTGTTTGTTTGTTTTTTTTCTTGTAAATTTGTTTAAGTTCTTTGTAGATTCTGGTAGATTCTGGATATTAGCCCTTTTGTCAGATGGATAGATTGCAAAAATTTTCTCCCATTCTGTCGGTTGCCTGTTCACTCTGATGATAGTTTGTTTTGCTGTGCAGATGCTCTTTAATTAGATCCCGTTTGTCAATTTTGGCTTTTGTTGCCATTGCTTTTGGTGTTTTAATCATGAAGACTTTGCCCATGCCTATGTCCTGAATGGTATTGCCTAGGTTTTCTTCTAGGGACTTTTTTTTTTTTTTTTTTAATGAAGTCTTGCTCTGTCACCCAGGTTGGAGTGCAGTGGCGCAATCTCAGCTCACTACAAGCTCTGCCTCCTGGGTTCAAGCAATTCTCCTGCCTCAACTTCCCAAGTAGCTGGGATTATAGGTGCCCACCAACACACCCAGCTAATTTTTTTTTTTTTTTTGTATTTTTAGTAGAGATGGGGTTTCACTATGATGGCCAGGCTGGTCTCGAACTCCTGGCCTCAAGTCACCCACCTGCCTCGGCAGGTTTTAGGTCTTGTGTTTAAGTCTTTAATCCATCTTGAGTTAATTTTCATATAGGATGTAAGGAAAGGGGTTCAGTTTCAGTTTTCTGCATATGGCTGCCAGTTTTCCCAACACCATTTATTAAATAGGGACTCCTTTCCCCATTGCTTGTTTTTGTCAGGTTTGTCAAAGGTCAGATGGTTGTAGATGTGTAACATTATTTCTGAGGCCTCTGCTCTGTTCCATTGGTCTATATATCTGTTTTGGTACCAGTACCATGCTGTTTTGGTTACTGTAGCCTTGTAGTAGAGTTTGAAGTCAGGTGGTGTGATGCTTCCAGCTTTGTTCTTTTTGCTTAGGATGACTTGGCTATATGGGCTCTTTTATGGTTCTATATGAAATTTAAAGTAGTTTTTTTTTTAAATTCTGTGAAGGAAGTCAATGGTAGCTTGATGGGGGTAGCATTGAACCTATAAATTACTTTGTGCACTATGGCCATTTTCACAATATTGATTCTTCCTATCCATGAGCATGGAATGTTTTTCCATTTGTTTGTGACCTCTCTTGTTTCCTTGAGCAGTGGTTTGCAGTTCTCCTTGAAGAGGTTCTTCACATCCCTTGTAAGTTTTATTCCTAGGTATTTTATTCTCTTTGTAGCAATTGTGAATGGGAGTTCACTCATGATTTGGCTCTCTGTTTGTCTATTATTGGTGTATAGGAATGTTTGTGATTTTTGCACATTGATTTTGTATCCTGAGACTTTGCTGAAGTTGCTTATCAGCTTAAGGAGATTTGGGGCTGAGACGATGGGATTTTCTAAATATACAATCATGTCATCTGCAAACGGAGACAATTTGACTTCCTATTTGAATACCCTTTATTTCTTTCTTTTGCCTGATTGCCCTGGCCAGAACTTTTAATACTGTGTTGAATAGGAGTGGTGAGAGAGGGCATCCTTGTCTTGTGCCAGTTTTCAAAAGGAATGCTTCCATCTTCTGCCCATTCAGTATGATATTGGCTGTGGGTTTGTCATAAATAGCTTTTATTATTTTGAGATACATTCCATCAATACCTAGTTTATTGAGAGCTTTTAGCATAAAGCGGTGCTGAATTTTATTGAAGGCCTTTTCTGCATCTGTTGAGATAATCATCTGGTTTTTTGCACTGGTTCTGTTTATGTGATGGGTTACGTTTTTGATTTATGTATGTTGAACCAGCCTTGCATCCCAGGGATTAAGCAAATTTGATCATGGTGGATAAGCTTTTTGATTTGCTGCTGGATTCGGTTTGCCATTATTTTATTGAGGATTTTCGCATCGATGTTCATTAGGGATATTGGCCTGAAATTTTTTTGTTTTGTTTTGTCTCTGCCAGGTTTTGGTATCAGGATGATGCTGGCCTCACAAAATGAGTTAGGGCAGAGTCCCTCTTTTTCTACTGTTTGGAACCGTTTCGGAAGGAATGGTACCAGCTGGTCTTTGTACCTCTGGTAAAATTCGGCTGTGAATCTGTCTAGTCCTGGGCTTTTTTTGGTTGGTAGGCTAGCAATTACTGCCTCGTTTTCAGAACTTGTTATTGGTTTATTCAGGGATATGACTTCTTCCTTGTTTGGACTTGAGAGGGTGTATGTGTCCAAGAATTTATCCATTTCTTCTAGATTTTCTAGTTTATTTGGGTAGAGGTGTTTATAGTATTCTCTGATGGTAGTTTGTATTTCTGTGGGATCAGTGGTGATATCCCCTTTATCATTTTTTATTGTGTCTATTTGTTTCTTATCTCTTTTCTTCTTTATTAGTCTGGCTAGTGGTCTATTTTGTTAATCTTTTAAAAAACACCAGCTCCTGGATTCGTTGATTTTTTTGAAGGGCTTTCCATGTCTCTATCTCCTTCAGTTCTGCTCTGATCTTAGTTATTTCTTATCTTCTGCTAGCTTTTGGGTTTGTTGGCTCTTGCTTCTCTAGTTCTTTTAATTTTGATGTTAGAGTGTTGATTTTAGATCTTTCCTGCTTTCTCCTGTAGACATTTAGTGCTATAAATTTCCCTCTTAATTACTGCTTTAGCTGTGTCCCAGAGATTCTGGTACGTTGTATCTTTGTTCTCATTGGTTTCAAAGAACTTATTTATTTCTGGCTTGATTTCGTTATTTACCCAGTAGTCGTTCAGGAGCAGGTTGTTCAGTTTCTATGTAGTTATGTGGCTTTGACTGAGATTCTTAATCCTGAGTTGTAATTTGATTGTACTGTGGTCTGAGAGACTGTTTGTTATGATTTCCATTCTTTTGCATTTGCTGAGGAGTGTTTTACTTCCAGTTATGTGTTCAATTTTAGAATAAGTGCGATGTGGTGCTGAGAAGAATGTATATTCTGTTGATTTGGGGTGGAGAGTTCTGTAGATGTCTATTAGGTCCACTTGGTCCTAATAGGACCAAAGATTTCAAGTTCTGAATATCCTTGTTAATTTTCTGTCTCGTTGATCTGTCAAATGTTGACAGTGGGGTGTTAAAATCTCCCACTATTATTGTGTGGGAGTCTAAGTCTTGGCATGAGTCTTAAACATACTCTTACTGAAACACCAGGGGTTCAGTCTAGTTCGTGCTGCTCGCCGCACAGAAAGCCAATCACTGAGATGACAAGTATTGCCAAGGAAGAAGGCTTTAATCATTTGCTGCAGCCAAGGAGATGGGAGCTCAGTCTCAAATCCATCTCCCTGGCTGACTAAAATTAGAGGTCTATATAGTGGGGGAGAAATGTAGCAATGTGTAAGAAAACAAGAACTAGCATGCAGCAAGGAGTCAATCATGGTGAATGAGGGGTCTGGTGTGGTGAGCTGGTGAGTTTTAGTTCTTTGATACTTATTTAGAGGCCTGAAGGTGCTTTTTGGAGGAAGGAACTCAGATAAAACAAATATAAGTTTCAAGCATTAAGACCAAATGATCAATTTCTATGTTCATCAAAAAGATCTGTCTATGGGACTATTGGGTCAGTTTCAATACCTCTGTTAAAACACTGAGCAAACAATAAGCTATTCTGACACAGGGGCAATTCCTAAGAAACGAGGCTTAAAAATAATATTGCAGTCATCTCTGGCAGTCTGAAAGCTGTGTACATACCCAAGGCTGTACCCTCACAGGAGCAACTGGAGAGGGAAAAGCCCAGTGGCTAGTTTCCAGATGAACATGGTAGAAAAAATTGGTAAATTCCCTGAATGTGATAGCAGACTCCAAGGCACCCCTCAGCCCCAGTGGTTAAGGGTAAAACCCTAAGGGCCCAGGGGCCTTAAGAATAATCTTTCACTGATAAATGGCTCATGCCCATTCAGGGGTGACCCATAGGTAGCCAGGCTGAAAGATTAAAAACGTGAAGGAAAAATGTGTGCAGGAATGTCAGGCTGCTCACTGAGCCAGAAACAGATTTCACTGAATGAGCCTAGTGAAGTAACCAAGTAAATAAATAGGCAAACCAGAAACACAAGAAGCTCTGGGGCAGGGAAGGGAAAAATCAATATCTGGAATTGATAAAATATAATGCGTGAAATGTCTAGTTTTCAACAACAAATTCAAGTCATGTAAAGAACAGGAAAGAGTGGCCTATACACAGGAAAACAAACAGGCAACAGAAACATTATTCAAAAGGACCCAGATGTTAGACTTAACAAAGAACTCAACGCACCCATTAAAAATATCTTCAAAGAACTCCAGGCAACTATTTGTAAGAAATCAAAGAAGGTATGGGGACACTGTCAAGTAGGGAATATCAATAAATAGATTGACATTATAAAATAATTCTAGAGTTAAAAGTACAATAACCAAAATGGGAAAAAATTACTAGATGATTTAACGATCGATTAGTGGTGACAGAAGAAAATAATCAGCAGACTTGAACATAGATCAATAGAGATGGCACAATCTGAAGAACATACACAGAAAAGAATGAAAAAAACTGACAGCCTCAGAAAAATGGGGGTACACCACTAAGGGACCAGTGTATGTGAACTATATCCAAAGGAGAGGAGAGAGAAAAGGGGCAGAAAAATAATTGAATGTATGTGGCTGAAAACTTCTCAACTTTATGAAAAACATTAATACACACATCCAAGAAGTTCAATGAATTCCTCATAGATAAACATAAAGAGATCCACACCCCCTATATCATAGTCAAATTGTTGAAAGCTAACAATTAAAAAGTATGAATGCAGTGAAAGAAAAACAACACATCTCATACAAGGGAACCCCAATAATACTAACAGCAGACTTATCAGAATTAATGAAGACCAGAAGGCAGTAGGATGACATTCAAAGTACTGAAAGCGAAATGTTCAACCAGTCATCTTACATCCAGTGAGAGTTTTTCTAAAATGGAGACAAAAGACAGACATTTCCAGATAAACAAAAACTGAGAGAATTTGTTGCTAAAAGACCTGGCTTTCAAGAAACAGTAAAGAAAGTTCAAGTTGAACGAAAATGATATGGTAATTTGAGATCACATATACAAAAACAAGGAGCACTGGTAAACATTTTTTATCTGCACAAAACATAGTATAATTACATAGTTCTCTTAAGTGATAGTTTGTGGCTGCAGTGAGCTATGATCGTGCCACTGTACTCCTGCCTGGGTGGTAGAATGAGACCTTGTCTCTAAAAAAGAAAAAAGACAAAAGTCCGTGAACATCTCAATAGCTGTAGAATCCGCAGTTACCAAATCGTATACACTTTAGTGACACACACACACACACACACACACATACACACACACACACAAATGGGACTAGAAGGGAACTTCCTCAGCCTGATAGCATCTGTGAAAAACCCAGGGCTCACATTGAAGACTGGATGTTTTTCAGGAAAAAGACAAGGATGTTCATTCTTGTTACTTCTGTTTAGCAATGTGCTAGAAGTTCTAGTCAAGGCAATTAGGCAAGGGAAAGAAATAAATGGTCTCCTGATTGGAATGGAAGCAGCAAAACATTTTGCAGATGACATGATCTTGTATGTAAGAAGTCCTAAGGAATTCATTAGAAGAAACTATTAGACGTAACAAGGAATCTAATTGTATTTCTAGACATTAGCAATTATCATTGTGAAAATGTAATTAGGAAAACAACTCCCTTTGCAGTATTATTAAAAAGAATAAGATACTGAAGTATGGATTTTAAAAAAGAATTTTACACTGAATCTAGAAAGCATTGTTGAAAGAAGTTAAGGAGGATCTAAATAAAGGGAACATGCCATGGTTATGGATGGGAAGACTTGATATTGTTAAGATGATGATACTTGCCAAGTTGTCCTACAGATTCAACACAGTGTCTAGCAACATCCCAACCATTTCTCCAAACTCATTTTTTTTTAGCAAAATAGACAAGCTAATTTAAAAATTCACGTGAAAAATGAAGGATCTCAGAATAGCCAAAACAATCTAGCAAAAGAACAAAGTTGGAAGCCTCCTGATTTCAAAAGTTATTACAAAACTATAGTAATTAAGACAATATAGTACTGGCATACTAATACACATATTGGTCAATGGAATATATTTGAGAGTCCAGAAATCAGTTCTTACATTTATGGTCTGTTGATTTTTGACAATGGTACTAAGACATTTCAAGGGTGAAAGAATGGTCTTTTCAACAAATGGTGTTGGGACAACTGTATATCCACATGCAAAAGAATGAGATTAGGCAATGGTTTCTTAGATCTATGACTCTAAAAGCACATATGACAAAAGAAAAAATAGATTATTCTACATCAAAGTTAACAATTTTGAATCTACAAACAATACCATCAAAAAACTTAAAAAGACAACCAACCCACAAAATGGGAGGAAATGTTTGCAAGTCACAAATCTGATAAGTGGTTAACATCCTGAATATCTAAATAACTCCTACAACTCAATAACAACAATAATTTTAAAAAAATCTAATTTCAAAATGGGCAAGGCCGAGCGCAGTGACTCACACCTGTAATCCCAGCACTTTGGGAGGCCGAGGCGGGTGGATCACCTGAGGTCGGGAGTTTGAGACCAGCCTGACCAACATGGAGAAACCCCATCTCTACTAAAAATACAAAATTAGCTAGGTGTGGTGGCACATGCCTATAATCCCAGCTACTCGGGAGTCTGAAGCAGGAGAATCGCTTGAACCCAGGAGGCAGAGGTTGTGGTGAGCCGAGACTGTGCCATTGCACTCCAGCCTGGGCAACAAGAGTGAAACTCTGTCTCAAAAAAAAAAAAAAAAAAAAAAAAAAAAAGAAAAAGAAAAAGAAAAAGAAAGAAAAAAAATGGGCAAAAGGTTTCAGTAGGGATTTCTCCAGAAAAGTATACCACTCTCAAATAAGCACATAAAAGGATACTATTCAACACTATTAGCATTAGGGAAATGAAAATCAAAACCACAATGCAACACCACCTCACATGTGCAAGGATGGCTATAATCAAAGAGAAAGGCCATAGCTAGCATGATAAGGATGCGGAGAAACTGGAACCCTCATACACCGCTGGTGGAAATGAAAAAAGGTGCAGCCATTTGAATTTCAATAAGAATTTCAAGTCTTAGCCTATTTATGCAAGTATTTGCTAGTAAGTATTTTTTATGAGAAGGTAAATAATTTTGCTGGTAGCACTTGTTACCCATAGAATGATCATGATATCAGACTATAATTTTCTGGATAAATAATATATTTTTCAACCTCAAAAAACCTTAAGATAAACTTTTTTTTCCCTAAAAATAAATGGTCAAAAGTTTAAGCTGTTTTTAACTTAAAGCATAATATAGTTTTATAGGCAAGAGTTCATTAATCTCAGAAGGAGAAATTTATAACTTTTTTCTTTGCTTTTGATGAAGAGACTAAAGATATATGGACTGTGATTTTTCTCTTGAGGAGTCTGGGCTCTGGGAATATAATTAAAACCCCTTTGGAAAATCCTTTCTGGCCTTCTGGGGGATTCTGGTGACTTTCGGACACAGTCACCAGAATCCCCCAGAGACAGATTTGCTGTGTTTATGAAGATTACCTCCACTGTTGTTTTAATATTTGACAGTAAACTGGTTTTATTGCCTATTTTCATAAAAGTTTTGAAGACTCTTTCTTCCATCAAGTCTTCATGGAGGAAGGAGGATTGAAAGCAAAATCTAAAGACTTCTGTGTTTTTAACTTACACGTTGAACAGACCTATGTGGAAATAGAGATTTGCATTATTGAACCTAAATTTGAATGCACAAATTAAAATTAGCCCATACCCCACCATTCTTCCCCCTCTTCCTCACCTTATCCATCTCCCTCCCTCTCTCTTTCTTTCACGTGCTGTGATGTTTGATCTTCTCTTGGTAATCAACATACCTTACCCTTTATGCTCATATACAGAGTGAAGATCAAAAAGTATTGATTTATTGGTGACAGTTAATGATGCCTCCCTAGAAGAGTCAGGACTTAATATGCTGCTATGATAGTACCAATGTACTGTTTATAAAAAATGACTATGTTTGGTGGTTCTGTGGAATTGTTTCATGTGATGATGCGCCAGGTTTAAAAGTGAATGAAATGTCTGTGCTATCCTTCCATAGCTGACTTTTTTTTTATTTTTATTTTTTTAAGAGACAGAGTCTCAGACTGGAGTGCCAGTGGCATGATCTCAGCTCACTGCAGCCTCTGCCTCCCCGGTTCCAGCGATTCTCCTGCCTCAGCCTCCTGGGTAGCTGGGATTACAGGCATGCACCACCATGCCCAGCTAATTTTTGTATTTTAGTAGAGACAGGGTTTCACCATGTTGGTCAGGCTGGTCTCGAACTGCTGACCTCAGGTAATCCACTCACCTCAGCCTCCCAAAGTGCTAGGATTACAGGTATGAGCCACCGTGCCCAGCAGAAAAGTATCTTTGAAATATCAAGTTTTAGTAAACACATTTTAAGAAACTGTAGTATAAACCTTGCTAACCAAAAATTTATAGAAGAGAGGCCGGCGCAGTGGTTCATGCCTATAATCCCAGCCTTTTGGGAGGCTGAGGTGGCAGGATCACTTGAACCCAGAAGTTTGAGACCAGCCTGGGAAACACAATGAGACCACGTCTCTACAAAAAAATACAAAAATTAGTTGGGCATGGTGGCATGTGCCTGTAGCCCCACCTACTCCCAGCTGCTTGAGAGGCTGAGGCAGGAGGATCGCTTAAGCCCAGGAGGTCAAGGCTGCAGTGAGCCGAGATCAAGCCACTGCACTCCAGCCTGGGCAAGAGAGTCAGACCCTGTCTGAAAAACAACAACAACAACAAAAAAACTAACCCAATAGCTTATAGAAAAGAAAGAGAATAGTGTAAATGAAGTTAAAATGAGAGCAGGAAGAGCTGACGTCCCCTAAAGCTTTGATGCCACCTAAAGTATTTCTGTTTTTTCCTATTTTTTCTCAGAGAGCCATAAAAAAATTTTGTTTTGAGGTGTGTATTAGTAGGAATGTAGGCAAGGCTTTTCTTTAATTGATCCATGTGTTAATCTTTATGTATAGTTCTGTGTATTTTTCTATATGGATTGTAATGTTGCCATTAAAACTTTTTACAAAACATGTATAGGTCACTCTTTAAATTTCCTTAGCTGTAAATATAGTACAGAATGACTCCTTTTCTCTTTTAATACTCTCCTGTATAATGTTGTTGGTGTTTTTACTTGCAGCTCCTTTTACTAACATTTTGTGTACTTAATTACCCCTGTAAGTAAAGCTTTTCATAATTAGGATGGAATTTTGCCTGCTTTTTTCTAGTGCCAACAAAAGAAACTAGCATGTTCTTCATGCTAGAAGCTAGAATCTGAGTTGAAATCCACTTGCAGCTGAGTGCTTTTTAAATGATCAGCTTTTCTTCAATGGCCTAGATCGGCACAAGGCTCCATAGAAATTGGCTTTGAGTTGGTCTCCATCCTTTGAACTGGCAAGGAAAGACACAGTAACTTGTTTTGTTTTGAAAGCTAGATTGCAGTATTCCCCCAGTGATGCCAGACTGACTTGGCTGTTGTGTTGTAAGTAAAAACTTTCCTATTCCAGTAATGCCAGCCTTCTTCTCAATACTGCCACACACGAAGCAGGTAGACACACAGCTATTCCAAAAACAAGAAAACAAAACAAAAAACTCTCTAATTTGACCATCTCTTTGCGTTCCACATTAAGCCTTCCAAAAAATAAAACAATACAAACTTGCCAAATATAAGACCAAAACAAAGCTTTTTCTTTTTAAAATGATTGAAAATGTATTTCGCTATGTTTCTACCAATGTGAACAAAGCTTGACTGTATTAAAAAATCTGATCATTATAAAATGCAGATGAAGAAGATCAAATGGCAAGGTGGTTTCAGTTTATTCTGAATATTTTAGTGACAGAAAGTTGAACAGGAAGGAAACAGGTGTTAGTGTAAAATACACAGTTTAAAAGCAAATTATACCATCGGCTAAATTAGAATCATTTATTTAACTAGGAGGAAAAGCACAGCTTCTGAATAGTGATTTGAAGGCATAGAAATTTGAGGGCCTGAGGTGTTTAATCTGGCATGATTTGTGAGGGGCTTGTAGTAGGTACAGTGGTGACTTGAAATAATAATTAGGTTTGAACTGATTCAGTAGTTTTGCATTTTCAAACTTGGATTTAGTTTGCGAGATTTTTTCTACCCAAACAGCATAAAGAGCTTATGTAAGGCAAGCTTCTTTGGGTTTATGTTATTTAATAAATGTCTTCAAGCACTAGAAATAGTGGTTTTGAAGAAGTCCTCTTGTCACATCTATCCGGTCTTATCATCCTCTGAGTTTATCCCTTTTAAAAATCCCTCTGTTCTCCAAAGCGTTTGTAGGCACTTCTTGAATTCATTGATCCTCATTGCTTGGTTTCCTTCCTGGTAACATCTTCCATATGTTTTCTTCACTTTTTCAGATAAGAGTATTACTTATATTCTCTACCATGAGCATCTTAACATTTATGTTGTTGAATCTCTTCCATTTGCTCATTCTTTTTCTTTTTCTTTTTTAATTTTTTTTGAGATGGAGTCTTGCTCTGTCACCAGGCTGGAGTGCAATGATGCGATCTCAGCTCACTGCAACCTCCGCCTCCTGGGTTCAAGGGATTCTCCTGCCTCAGCCTCCCAAGTAGCTGGAACTACAGGCACCAGGCACACACCAACCACCAGGCCCAGCTAATCTTTTTTTTTTTTTTTTTTTTTAAGTAGAGACAGGGTTTCACAATGTTGGCCAGGATGGTCTCGATCTCCTGACCTCGTGATCCACCCACATTGGCCTCCCAAAGTGCTGGCATTACAGGCGTGAGCCACTGCACTCAGCCTCTTTTTCTTAATTTGAAATTATGCAACACTATGGAGTTGAAAACCTACTTAAAAATATCTTTTTCATACACGTATACTTTAACAAATCCAGACCATGTCAGCTTCTGATGTTTCTAACAGGAAAGAATACATCCCTCTTAACTACACTTAACATTTTAGATTGTTCAAGAATCTCTACTCTTTTCTGTATTCATGTTGAGATACAATTAGCATCTCATGTATGGCAACCAGGATTGCATGCAAAATTCTAGAAAGAATCTATAACATATGACTCATACCAAACAGTAATTTGTTTGTTTTCAGTTTGCCCTCTTTTTTTCTTAATCCAACTTAATAAGTCATGTTTGCCATTCTTGAGGTTACTAATATGGTTTCACAGATTTCAGTACCCTGTTTTAATAACCACGGCATTCCTTCCTTATAATAGTCTACTATACATTTTTTTTCCCCGCTAGGCCACCCAGGACTTTGTTGAATCTGTCACATCCTTACTGTTTTTCTTACTCATCTTACTGTGGCCTTGCTGTTTTGCTCAGATATTTATTTTATCTTTTCTGTGTGTTTACTCACATCAACATCGTAGTTTTAAAATGTAAGCTGTTGTAAATTTCTAGTGGTTTATTGTTGCCCACGCTTTTAAAAAATTCATTCATTCACTGTAACAGCCACTTAATAAATTCAGATTATTAGAAAACTACTGTGTATGATGGCCGGGCTTGGTGGCTCACTCCTGTAATCCCAGCACTTTGGGAGGCCAAGGCAGGTGGATCACCTGAGCTCAGGAGTTCAATACCAGCCTGACCAACATGGTGAAACCCCGTCTTTACTAAAAAGACAAAAATTATCCGGGCTTGGTGGCGGGCACCTGTAATCCCAGCTACTCAGGAGGCTGAGGCAGGAGAATCGCTCAAACCCTGGAGGTGAACAGAAGTTGCAGTGAGCCGAGATCGCACCACTGCACTCCAGCCTGGGTGACAGAGCGAGACTTCATCTCAAAAAAGAAAAAAAAAAAAAAAGACTGTGTATGGGTCTATCTTCCTTTTAAATTTCTTTCTCAAAGCATGTAAAACCATCTCTCTTGCTAAGACTATTCTACTGAGTTTTAAATTTAATTCCACAGAAGTCATCTAGAGGAAGTGACATACTATTGTTCTGAAGACTCATGCTGAGTTTAAGAGAAAAATTCACATTTGAAAGATGTTGCTTATTCTGAAAAACTCAATATATAAATCTTACAAAGAATAGGACCACCTCATTAATTAATTAGTAGGACCTTACAAAGAATAGGACCACTTCATTAATTAATTAGTAGGACCTTACAAAGAATAGGACCACCTCATTAATTCATTAGGGATAAAACCAGCCTATGATATTCCTCCTCTTTCTGTATGCGCATAAAAAGAACTAGAAGCAAGAGGCAGGCGGACTCACACATTGCACATTGGCCCCCTCCCTCCTTAACAAGCAAAATAGCCCATTTTAGTGATCCAGAAACCCTGGAAATGGATTCTTTACAACTATTGACGATACCCACTGGCAATGATGGTCTATATTTCATAGTTACTTTAAAGTCCCAGGCAGATGTGATTCAGCCTTTCAGATGGATGAAAGGGATGTTGGAAGGATAGAATTTTTGCAGGGCATGAATTCATTATTTCTTGGATCTTTTTAACTGATAAGGTATTTTAAACTCATAGACAGCCGTGAGTTTAAATTCATTCCTTTCCATCTATTCCAGTCAGACTTCCCTTGAGCTCATAGTGCCAGCTGGTTTTTCTAGGGGGACAAAGCGGAAAAGAAAAAGAGGCAGAAAAAATTCGAAGAAATTATTGAATTTTTTTGCATTAACAACCTCCTCAGGTGACACTCATCCCCCCTACCCTCGCCATGATTCTTACCTTCTTCCCGATGACCCCTGAAAAGAGGAGAAAAAGGTGAGAAGGGCCAAAGAAATTTTACACAATGGGCAGAACTTCTGTCGGAGAAGATATCAAGGGTGTAGAGATCTTCCAGAAAAGGGAAAACCCATTGTAGAAGAAAGGGAAACAGGCCTTGGAAGGGTGAGTGCACCTGAGCATTGTATGTGAAGATGCTGATTTGTCTCTTTAGCCCAAATCCAGTCTGAGTTTGCATGTCTGTATCTTTTCCACCACAAAGAGACATATATCTTGCTTGCCATAATTGTGATGTTGGACAATAACCACATGATTTCTGCTTTAGGAGATGTGTAAAAAACTTTCTGTCATCACCACCAACCCCCCCACTACAAATGTGTGTATCAGCCTCCCCACAGATTAGCTATAATTAGAAAACCATGTTGAATCACGTTGAGTCAGATGAGGATAACTTCCTGTATTCCCTGTATCCCTGAGGAAACTAAGGTTTATTCTCTTCATGACAAGCTAGTTTCCTTACTTTATTTCTCCAGTTATGTTTTAGCAAAGCAATTATATAAAAATATTTTTTTCATATACTTATAAACTTTTAAAAATCCTGGCCATGTCAGCTTCTAATGTTTGTAAGAGGAATGAGTACATCCCTCTTAACTACACTTACAATTTCAGATTGTTCAAGGATCTGTATTCTTTTCTGTATTCCATGTTGAGCTACAATTAGCATCCTGTGTATGGCAACCAGTATTGCATGCAAAATTCTTCAAAGAATCTATAACACATGACTCATACTAAAGAGTAATTTGGTATTTATACAAACTAAAATTATTCTCTTTCCTGCCTCTACTTTAGTTTTTTGGCTTCTAATTCAAAAATGAGAAAGGGGGAAAAGATGAAGTCTAAGATATTGCGATAAATCAAGAGTGACTTCTTTCTGTCCAGGGTATCCTCATATACAAGTTGAGAAAGAGTGCATGGACGTCATCTTTGCACGATTAAATAGAAAGACTTCTAAGCCAAGATATCAGTCTATGGTGAAGTTAATATTGCTATGATATTCATTTGCTTTTCATTTTAAACGCTCCTTTTATTTGGATCAGATTTTGATTTTTAAATAATTTAATTAATTTTTTGTTTTTTTTTTCAGAGATGAGGGTCTCTCTCTGTTTTCCAGGCTGGAGTGCAGTGGTGTGATCATCGCTCACGACAGCTTCAAACTCCTGGGCTTAGGTGATTCTTCTGCCTCAGCCTCCCAAGTATCTGGGATTATAGGTGCATGACACCATGCCTGGCTAATTAAAAATTTTTTATTATTTTTTTTAGAAATGGGTTCTCACTATGTTGCCCAGGCTGGTTTCAAAATCCTGGGCTCAAGTGATCCACCCACCTCGGCCTCCCAAGTTGCTGGCATTACAGGCATGAGCCACTGTGTCCAGACCCCAGATTAGTTAGTTGTGTAATCTTGCATCAGTGAAGGGCATAAACCTCAAGCTTTTCCTGTCTTCTGGTGAAGTCAACCAGTACCTTTGAGAATAAGGAGCCATCTCCCCTCTTCTTCCTCTGCCCCATATCAAAGTTGGCCTGGCAGAAAAAAATCCCACCCAGAATGTCTGGTAATGTATTCATTAGTCACTCCTGATCATTCAGATGTTTCTTTTTTAAGTTTCTAGTTTTTTAATATCTTAGGTTATTCATGTCTATTGTATCATGTGTGAGGGTTTCTTCTTCCCCAGGAGAGTGTTTTTGGTGTGGAATTACCTTGTACCCGTTTGGAGATAGACACAAAGGAGGTGGGTGTGTGATTCATGCTTGAGCAAATTTACTCCATGCATGATCTGCGGTGAAAGTTGAAGCCTAGGATTCTGCTGATCATTATGGCGTTTTTTGCATGACTTCAGCTCTTTGCACTCATTCAGTTCTATTGGTAGAAAGGTGATTTCCTTTCAGGTGTGACCTGAAAATGGAATTTTTTCTCATCTCCCTAGCACCATCCATACTGTTCAGAATGGAAGCTTTTAGCTTTAGTGACTCTCACTCTCGCCATGCCTTTAACTACATACTTCAGGCCCCTAATACAGTGGGACACCCCATGGTATTTCCTCGTCGCCAGCATTAAAGATTATGTGTTCCAGAATCATTAGACTTTTTGAAAAGACCCCTGTGTTAGTTTTGCACTGTTATAAAGAAATACCTGGGACTGGGTATTTTACAAAGAAAAGAGGTTTATTTGGCTCATGGTTCTGTAGACCACACAAGCAAGGCACCCACATCTGCTCAGCTTCTGAGGAGGCCTCATCACCTTCTGCCATGAAGGTTTTACTCACGGCAGAAGGTGAAGAGGGGAGCAGGGATGTCACATGGTGAGAGAGGAAGCAAGAGAAAGAGGAGGAAGTGCCAGCCTCTTTTTAACAATCACATCTCGTGGGAACTAATAGAGTGATAACTCACTCATTCCCATGAGGAGGGCACAAAGCCATTCATGAGCGATCCTCTCCCATGACCCAGTCACCTCTCGCTAGGACTCACCTTTAACAGTGGAGAATCACATTTCAGTGTGAGATTTGGAGGGGACAAACATCCAAACTATATCAGCCATATAAAAATTAAACTCTTCCAGGGATTTCTTTCAGGGATTTTGTTTTCCTTTTTGCTACTTTGGGTTTAACTTTTTATGGAAGTGCCTTTACAAAGTTAAGTGACTTATTCTTTATGTCTTCAGCAAAGTCAATATTGCTTCCACTAATGGTAGCTAAGGACAGGAAGGATGTGAGTTTTTGTTGTTGTTTTTCACATAGCTGGGAATAGTCATGGAGTAGGCTAGGATTTGGATCTTAGTTTCTTAAGCCACATTTCTACCTCTTATCTCATGAAACAAAACAATGATTTAAAGACTGGGCTAACAGTTCTGTCTTTCTAAGAGTTTGTTTGATTGCTGACTGTCCCTGTTGATGGTTCTTGTGCGGATAATTAACAGGTATAGTCGGATAAGTTGCCACCAACTTAGAAAACAGTCAGGGATCTTTTTTTAAGAGCTGCTTACAGTTGTTCAAGTCAGCCTTGACTCAGCTCTGCATACCAGCTGCTGGTGACCCCAGCTTGCCCCTTTGCACAGACCATGTGATTTTAAGTGTCAAGGTCTTGTCCGTTATCAGTTTCCTACCCTGTAGAACTGCTGTTATGCATTTTGTTTACTGATATGCATTTTCAGTATCTTTCCCTTCTCTGGATTTTTCGAAATAGACTAATTAAATACCGCAGCTGGTCTTTTTATCTTGGGATGGAATCACTTACAGAATGGGACACGTCTTCCTCTCAGATTGAGTCATGGTGTGGTGACAGAAGGGAATTTCATTGGAGCATTAAGATAATCAGAGACTCCATGTGGCATTAATTCACTCCATTACTGTTTATTGAAGAATAACTGTGTGCCAAGCACTGGGCTTAGTACTTTATCTTGGGAGGGGTGGGCAGGGTAGGGGGCAAATTGCAGAATAAGACTGGGCTTTGAGAGAGATTGGAGTTGAGTTATACATGCAGAATTCTAGAGGATACTTGAGTTTCTTTGCCTACTTGCTGCCTTAAATTTAAGAGAATTACACTAGGCTTGGGAAAACAAACTTTCATAATCCCAAATAGCATCTGATTCTAAAATTGCTTTTATTTGACTTCTCAATGAGTCTTTTAAAAGATGATTTCCTTCCTCAGGGTTTTGATCTGGCTGTGTTTGTTTCTATGAACACATTGTCTACAGATTCTAGGCATTAAGCAGAATGAACTAGCTGGAAAAATCCAACCCAGAAATAAACATTCACCTGTAGTCATTTCCAGCAAATGCTTGTATACTTATCGAAAATTCAAATTTACTTTTAACTAAATACCTTTATGCAGCTGACTGTAGTGCTTTGGGGAAGATAATGGTGTTAAAATAAGGTAATGATGATTGAGAAGAAAGGACTGATTCGAGGAACATTTAGGAGTTAGAATGACATCATTTAGCTATCTATTAGATATTCAATAGAGATATTTATGAAAACTTGAAATATGTTTAACATTGTGTATCCTTATAACCACTGCTTCTGAATGTTCAGCCAGTGATCTTGGGTAAAGACATTAAAACTTATTTGGTGAATACCTAACAGTGTATCTCTTCATCATGTGTATGTATCTGTAGATGTGGTATTAGAAACCACTGACACATATAATGACTTTTCAAGATATTTAACTAGTTTATAGGCTCCTGCGTGACTTATTTAATCTTGTGATTTTGTTCTGAGGTAGCTAATAATTTTATCATAACAAGATAAATTTTTAAGAAAATTATTGGAAAGTATGAAGTTTTTATTTGTTCATTTCATTAGTTGCTCTGCTAGAGTTACAAACAAGTACAATTACGTTGGAAATCTACTTCATAGTAAATACTCAGGTTCAAATACATTTACCCTAGGACCCAGTAGTCATAGGAGTAGCATTACTTGAAAAACCCTAAACTGCAAACCTTCTAAATATCTATCAATATTAGATACACGGTGGAATAGTAACAATGAAAAATAGCAATCTGTTATACTCAACAACAATATGGATTTTACAGGCAAAAGCCATTATAAACAAAGTGTTTCCATTTATGATGCTCAAGAACAGGCAGAAGTTATCTGTGACGATAGAAGTTAGAAGGAGACTTTTGTGTGGGGGAGTATTGAAGGAGGTATAAATGGAGCCTTCAGGAGTGCTGATAATGTCCTATACAATGATCTGAGTGATAGTTACAATGATGCATTTGTAAGCAATAATTAAATGAACTCTATACTTGAGTTTCGTTCACTTTACTATAGAATAACAATATTTTAAAAACTAAAATTTCTTAATAGTGGCCACTTTAGAAAAACTTTTTATTGAACAGCAAAACGCTAATTTGAGACTCTGGGACAATAGAGTTGAAGATGTCTTCAGGGATAGGAATAATGAATGATTTGGCTATTGTTGGACGAGGATGTGATAGAATTGTTTGACACAATATGATAAATTTCTTCAAATGGATTTGTTAAAGAAAGGAAAAATGCTAAATATATGATCTCTGAAAATGATGCCATCAGAAAGAAGACTATTTGGTCTGTAAAGGCTTAAAATCACATGTTGAAATTTTTATTCTCTGAAAATGAGCATCATAAATTAACTCACTGACATGCCACTGTTTATCTCTCTTTAACTTCCAAACTCTAGGAGGTCTTTGAAGAATCAGCCACTTGCTTATTCAGTATGTCATTTCTAGGAATAAAGATTGTAGACTTTCAAGGAAGCTGGACATGTCTTCCTCCATAGGATAGGGTCAAATCCAGTTTTCATCTTTGTGTCTTCACAGTGCTAAAAGCACCAGCATACTCTATGGATGGAGCAAGAAATCAAATCTTGTCCCTATAAAAGGGCCAGAAAGAAACATCATGCCATTGGCCAAAGAGCAGGAAGTGAAGCAAAACGCCTGAATACCGAATGACCATTTACTAAATCATTAAAAGTTTATTATGTGATTCTAGTCAATAAACATATGCTCAGTGATTCATTTGTTTTCTGAATATTTAACATTTTCTCTATCAAACTTTTCATCTAAATTTCTCATAGGCATTTTGTTGTTGTTATAACTACAAAGGAAGGGAACTATTTTGGTTGTTATTTGTTTTTCATAATTTCCCTGAAATTGAGCAATACATAAGACAGAATATTCAGATGGACCTTACCGTCTAAGGTTTGCTTTCTAGTTAACAATTTGAAAACTAATTTATTCTCTTTATGTTCCGTCTGCCCATATTAATTATATTTGATAACACAGGGCGTTAAGGAAATAGTGGGGAAAATGAGGCATCGTGTGTCTCATTCCTTGGTAGGAGTGTGCTCTCCATATGGCTGAGGGGTAGTGTGGAATAGTGGTCAAGGGGGTAGAGCCTGGAACCAGACTGCCTGGCTCATTTCCTAGCTCTGCCACTTTATGGATATGTGACCTTGAACAGCCACTTCTGCTGTAAAATGTGGACCGTAGTGGTACCTGTTTCACTGGATTTTGGCAGTGATTACAAGGAAGAATAAACTAAAGCCCTTTATTATGCACCAAATAATGTTCTCTGAATACATACTTGCTACAACATAATAATAAATATGCACATGGTCTCAATAAGAGTCTTTTATTCCTTTGTGGTTGTCATTAACCTTATTATCTGCATCACGTCTTTTATTTGTGATGATTAATATCTCTCATTGAGGTAACGAAGTACAAAGTGAGATGCTGATGCCTGTATTTTGTAGACACATACTTGATATCCAAATATTTTTGGCAATATCATGAAACATTTAGATATGGTACTCACAATGTATTGGTTTTCTTATATTTTAATTTTTATTGTAAACTTTGATGCTTCTAACTGAATTCTAAGTGCTGAAAACATAATATGAAAATTATAGATAGGATACATATCTAAAACCAGATTTTTAGAGGGAATTCTGAAGGGAAAAATATAGCTCAGCAGACTTGTATGCAACCAGATAGGTGAAACATTGTTTTCTCCTTTCCAAGATATTTGAAATAGCAAAGGTCCAAATTATATCTTGCAAATGTTTTTCATGCCAAAATTGGCTAGACTGGCAAAAAGATATGTTCAAAGAATAAAAGATTGTAATGTTATTTTAATTTCAAGGAGTTTAAACATCTGTGCATATTTTCTTTTTGCTTTAAAGAGTGGAGACTTAGGATAGTTGGTTTAAATTAGAAAGGCATTTTGTTTTAAGAGCCTGCTGATACTGCAGCATTATAGTGCATGTTACTGTGATATTTTTAAACAAACTGTGAAATTTAGAAATGCAACCTGCTAGAATAAAAACTTTAATAAAATATATACCTAATGCCATTTTGTTTCTTCATCGGTTTGTTTGGAATCACTTTGGTGTATTTTCAACTCTGGATTTTTTTTTTAATTGTATTTTTTTTTTTTTTGTCAAGGTCATCCTAAATGTTTCAGCTTTTTCTAAGAAAGGAAAAGTTAATATAAATAAGAAATTGAGTTTCTAATTCTTTTAAACTTATCCCTTTAAAGAAAAATATCAAAAAGCCTAAGAAGTTCCCTTGGTTTTTTGTTAGCAAATTCCTGTGCTGTATTTAGTGTTGTGTTATGGCAGAGGTGTGTGTGCACATGGCTCTCAGGGACTGCCTACAGCAGAGGACAAGTGAACTTTGGAGTCGGACTTAGCTGACAGGAAATCCCAGCCTGCCTCTCTGGCTTTGGTCTTTCAGCCATTTTTCATACTGAACATCATTCATTTCTGTGACTCAATACATAATAGTTATTATTTTTACAGATGTGATTTATGCGTGTCACGCTGCTGGGACATTTAATTACTCTATTCAACTTGACTGTATTTAGAAAAGGCTATGGCGCTACTCCTCTTGTTTAACAGCTTCTATTCTAAGAGAAGAATCTAACCATTGATTGGGTTGGATCATAAGTGTGGCTAATCTTGTAGGCTAGGTAGGTATCATTTTCTTTATTTTAGTGTGCCTTGCTTTTTTTTTTTTTTTTTTTTTTTTTTTTTGAGACGGAGTCTCGCTCTGTCGCCCAGGCTGGATCTCGCCTCACTGCAAGCTCCGATCTCGGCTCACTGCAAGCTCCGCCTCCCGGGTTCACGCCATTCTCCTGCCTCAGCCTCCCGAGTAACTGGGACTACAGGTGCCCGCCACCACGCCCGGCTAATTTTTTGTATTTTTAGTAGAGACGGGGTTTCACCGTGTTAGCCAGGATGGTCTCGATCTCCTGACCTCGTGATCCGCCTGCCTCGGCCTCCCAAAGTGCTGGGATGACAGGCGTGAGCCACCGCGCCCGGCTAGTGTGCCTTTCTTAAAATCAACTGGAACACGTATGTCTTAGAGTTTACCAAATCGCTTTTATATAACATGCATTTGCTTCTTTTTAAAATGACACATCTTTCATGTCTGACTTGATTTCTGGTTTAACAGTGATTTATAATGGTATATTGAATGGCAAAAGATAGTCGAGGGAGATATTGTTATCAAGAAACAATGGAGAAGTCAGATGGACACTAGTTTTTACTTGGTGGGAAGATGTCCTGCAGACTTACTTGCACATATTTGAAATTCTCGCTTCTAGTTTGTTAGAACAACCCGAGGGATGGGACCAGGAGACCGGTATCAGGATCATAGACTAAATAAGAATGAAAGCAGGAACCAAGAAGATGGTGTCAGGAGAGATTGAAACAACCTACTCAGTTGAGGAACAACATCCAGATGATGTTACAACCAGGAGACACAGCTCTCCAAACTGAAGTCTAAAATATACATCAAGACAACCAAATGAGAGAGACAGGCTAGGAGAGCACAAGAGGCTCTTCTTGGTAACCTTACCAAATTCCACAGCTGTCAGTCTCCTTCTGAGGCTGACTCAGACCCAAAGGCAGGACAAACAAAGCAAGACGCTTTCACCCACACTATAGCTTGATCCTCTGCCAAGAGGCACATCTGGGACCAAGTTCAGAAGCAGGCTTCTAGATTCTTAATCAGTGAGAGGTGTCAAATGTCACCTCACCAATTAGCAAACTGTAATTCTGCTTTGCTTCTGAGATTGAATCTAGGCTGCCCGAGTAAAGAGGATTGTCTGGTGCCAACCAGATAGTCTGGAGATACCACTTGTGGGCATGGTCAGTGTCAGTGCCTTCTGTGGTCTGCAGTGCCTTGGAATGCTGTTGGATGCCTGTGAGATCAGCCACCCTCCCCTGAGGCTTACCATTAATCTGAGTAGGAGAATACGGTAGTGTAAGTAAGACTGCAGTCTTCCTTGGTTGCGGGAGTAGACCGAAAAAAAAAACCAAAAAACAAAAAACCCTGATAACCTCTTGCTCTGCAAAATCTCATGCAAGCATTCTTCACTTTTGAGTGTAGACTAGTTAAGATTTAAAATGACTGCTGTTTTCATGAAATAGTATCAGACAGTTCAGAAAAGGCTCATGGTTCCTGATTCTCATTGGGTCAAAAATCTAGAGATGAATTTATCTTTCCAAAGTAAGAAAACTGAATCCAAATCAAGGTTATGAGATAGCCAACAACAGTATGTCTAAAGAGTTCTTGGAGAAATCACACTTTGTAAATTCCCAAGGGGCAGGAGTTGGCCAATGTATGGGTTGTTCTCCTTCTTAATTTTAGATGTTTATTTCTTATCGCCTTCTATTGTCTCTGCTGTTCCTCTTGTTGGAATAAACTCAAGTGATTTTACAACATCATAAATATAACTGCCGGTTATTGGATTACAAAATAAAACACTAGCACCTGGCATTTGCAAGACATTTTATGCTTTGAAAATATTTTATACTTTACCGAATTTGTTTATCTCAAGTTATGGGAATATTGCATATGGATTATTAACTGTATTCTACAGGTAGGAAAATTTAGATCTTGAGGCCAAGGAGCTTGTCCAAAGTTACATGGATGCTAATTTAGGCAAAGACATGTCCTGAAATATGGATCTCCTACTCTGATACAGATCAAATCATTGGAAATCTTGAGTTTGGGAATTGTTCTCTTTGCCTTTCCTTCTATTCTTACATCTCTTGTTCACTTTGGATTTACTATTTCATATTTACTTATATTCTCCTGGTCATTAGGGTATTCTTGGGTGCATTTGATAGCTCTTATTCCTTGAATACATTGCATACCTCTGGATATACCACCTTGTGCTCTAATGTCGTTTGAGAAACAACAGTTTTCACATTCTGAGGTTCTGCTTTGAAATTTACCTTAATTCATCTCTATCGTTGAGTAATCTTATCTTTTTCTCTTCAGAGAAAGATTTGCCTTATTGGATCTGGCCATTTATCCCTTATTTAATGTCCACTTTTCAGCAAGGTCATGACATGCCATTTCAGAAGAAAGCAATATGCTCTTTTAACTAGGAATCAGGAAACTAAAACTTTTGTTGTGGCTCTACATTTAGACTGTGTGCAAATTATTTACTAGCTTGTAAAAAATTGTGAGATTTTACTAGCTTATAAGAAATTGTAAGATTTTACTAGCTTGTAAGAAATTGCAAGAAACTTCAAGTTATCTCTATTGGATATTTAATGTGGAGCTCTTTGATGTCATCTTAATTAGCTAATATTCCATGTGACACATATAAAATGCATACTATGTTTAAACTTCCGAATTAGCAATAAACACCATGTTGACTGATCAAATAATTATTTAAATGTGGTTTTGGCTACTTGTGTAATAAATATAGTTCACATAAACTTTCTACTATGTCTTGATATGATTCTAAGTTACAGAAGATATTATCTTGCAGTTCTTGAATTTAATAGTAGAATCACAGTTCAACCATTATTCAAATACTTCCTTTTCAAAAGAAGTATTCAGTGGTTCCCAAATCTGCACCAGCATCAGCTGTGGTATTTTTTTAAAACATACATATTCCAGGGCCCTACTCTAGAGAAAATTGACTTTTCAGAAGGTTGAGCAGGATCCTTTATTTAAGAAGGTACCTAAGTAATTCTGATGTCTAGCCAAGGTTGGTTGTCTAACCATTTTTCCAAGTTTATTGTGGGACATCTAAGCTGGGCATAGCAGTTTAAACAAGGTTTACTTATTCAGCGGACATTTTTGGATGCTTACAATATATCAATCATTGTGCTGAGTACTACAGTAAGCAATATGACACAGAGTTTGTCTAGAGGTAATTATACTTTAGTGAAAATTGCCCCCAAATCACTTTATCATGTATATGTTGCAGTAGGAGAGTATATAGTCTCAAAAGAGTAAAGAAGTGGCTCCTAAGTCAGCTCCTGTAAGAGTTCTGTGGGAAGTACAGGGATGTTCAGGAGAAGCATCACAGTGGAATGAGACTTGAACATTCCTGTCCACTGAATAGTCAGAGTTTGTCATTTTGAAAATAGAAAATAGAAGAGAAATACATTATCAGGGGCCACTAAATATCTGTTAAAAGGGGACTGACAGGATGAAGGCAGTACAGAATGCTGGGCTGAGAGCAGGACTGAGATCCTAGAGGCAGAATCCCAGTCTACCCGTACTCTCTGGGAGGAAGTGATGAGAACTTGCAGCAGGGTGGTGGTAGTGAAAGAGAAGAATGAAAGACAAGGAAGCATCAGTGGAACTTGATGTGTGGCTGGATACCAGAAATGCAGAGGAAGTTAGTCAAAGGTTCCCGTCCTGATGACTGGAGATCATGGTATCACTGACTGAGCTCTAGGGGTTGTGAAATAGAGCTCATTAGGCAGAGGATGGTAAGTGTCTGGTTTTTTTATGGTTTTCCGTGCATTTACCCTACTGCCTAGCACAATGCCTGATGTGTAGTAGGGGTATTAGTTAAAATACTGGTTTGGTGGTCTCTGTTGTGACTTGTAAAAGATGAAAAGTTAATTTTATCTTTCTCATGGAGAAATCTAGGCAGGTAAGTGCCCAGGGAGGTGCAGTGCCTGTGTTCCATCAGGTTGTCCAGAGATTCATTCCCCAGGCCTTCTGTTGCTTCACCCTCAGGGCATAGTATAACTGATGATGGCTCACTTCCATAATTCTGCCTCAGCCTGAGAGGAAAAGGATAGAGAAAGTAGAGGGCCAGCCAGGCACAGTGGCTTACGCCTGTAATCCAGGCACTTGGGGAGGCCGTGGCGGGCGGATCACGAGGTCAGGGGATCGAGACCATCCTGGCTAACATGGTGAAACCCTGTCTCTACTAAAAATACAAAAAATTAGCCGGGCATGGTGGCGGATGCCTGTAGTCCCAGCTACTCGGGAGACTGAGGCAGGAGAATCACGTGAACCCAGGAGGCGGAGGTTGCAGTGAGCTGAGATCGCACCACTGCACTCCAGCCTGGGCGACAGAGCGAGACTCCCTCTCAAAAAATAAAAATAAAAATAAATAAAAAAAGTAGAGGGCCAGCCAGCCTTTTGAAGGCTGCGCTTTTATCGCTCTCCGCATTCTGTTGTCCGTAACTTAGTCATATGGCTATCCCTGGATAAAAGTAGGATGTAGGCTGGCGCTGTGGAACATGGCTGTAATCCCAGCCACTTAGGAGGCTGAGGTGGGAGGGATCACTTGAGCCTGGGAGTTAGAGGCTACAATCAGCTATAACCATGCCACTAAGAGTACCTCACTGAATATCCACTGCAGTCTTTGGAATTTGATACTGTTTTAATCATTTTTCTAGGGGAGGTAACTGAGGCTTTAGGATGTTGGGGTAGCTTTTCTCCAACACATTAGAAAGCAAGTAGGAGAACCTCACAATCTGTGCACCAGAAGAACTGGCATCACCCGAAAGCTCGTTAGAAACAAAGAACCTCAGTCCCACCCAGATTTAGGGATCAGAATCTGCATTTTAAAGGATCCCAGATGATTCAAGTACACATGAAGTTTGAGAAATACTGCTTTATTTTACAGAGACCGTGTTCATAATCTCTACACAGTCCTGCCTTCTAGGGAAGCCTGAGATGATAACTTTATTAAGAGAATTATTAAGAGACGTGACATTAAAGCAGATTCAAGATAATTCTTTTTTCTGATTATAAGTTCTAATTTTATAGATTTCAAATGTGTTAATTCTGCATTTTCTGCGTTTTGCCTCAGTTCTGAGATCATCTTAGAAGAGTGTACTCTCCTCTTCATTGTATTGTGGTCACTGAATTCTAAGAATGTTCTAACTTTAGGTTCTTCTTCTCCAAGGTGTTGGAAAAAAAGGTCAGATCATAGCAGTGGTTCGTAATGCAAAGTTTGGGTTACTTAAGGACACTGTGGAATCCATCCTTTTAGACATCTGTCCTCTTCTGAATGTCTGCCTTCTGAAAGGTGGTAGATGATTATTGTTCCTATGTAAAATCTTAGGCATTTAAATGTAAAATCCAGTTTGTGATCAAGTGTGTTTGAATTATAATAGAAAAAGCAGGCTGGGAGTGGTGGCTCAAGCTTGTAATCTCATCACTGTGGGAGGCCCAGGCAGGCAGATCACCTGAGGTTGGGAGTTTGAGACCAGCCTGACCAACATGGAGAAACCCCATCTCTGCTGTAAATACAAAATTGGCTGGGCATGGTCCCGCATGCCTGTAACCTCAGCTCCTCAGGAGGCTGAGGCAGGAGAATCGCTTGAACCTGGGAGGCGGAGATTGCAGTGAGCTGAGATCGTGCCATTGCACTCCAGCCTGGGCAACAAGAGCAAAACTCCATTTCAAAAAAAAAAAAAAAGCAAATTCCATATATGAAATGTGAAAGATTCTATAAGACTTTTTAAAGGACTAACCCTTAAACATGAGCCAATTGGGTTTAAAACCTATGATTAAAAAGCAACATGCAGATATCAGCATTTTTAGAGAGGGTACTTGGGTATCAGTTTGGAGAATGGACAGGAAGGGATGAGATGAAACGGGTGGCTTTGGAATTACTTGGAAGGCTTTCAAAATTCAGAGTGATGGTTCCTACTCTCATGTTCTGATTAGTAGGTTTGTGATGAGGCCTGAGAACTTGCATGTTCAATGTTTATTATTGATACATAATATTTATACATATTTATGATACATCATATTTATACATATTTATGATGTTACATGCATAGAATGCGTGGTGATGAAGTCTGGATATTTAGTATCCATCATTTTGAGCATATATCATTTCTGTGAGTTAGGAACATTTCAAGTCCTTTCTTCTAGCTATGTTGTAATATATAATACATTGTTGTTAACTATGCTCACCCTCCTCTATCATTAGAACGTATTTCTTCTATCTAATGCTTGTACCCATTAATCAATCTCTCCTCATCACCTCCCCCTCCACCACCCACCCTACGCAGCCTCTGATATCTTTTGTTCTACTTTCTACCTCCATGAGATTAACATTTTTCACTCCCACATATGAGTGAGAGTGTACAATACTTGTCTTTCTTTACCTGGCTTATCTCACTTAAGGCTTTTCTCACTTTCTTTACCTGGCTTATCTCACTTAGAACCTCCTGTTCTATCCGTGTTGCTGCAAATGACATGATTTTATTCTTTTTTTATGCCTGGATAATATTCTGTTGTGTATGTATGTATATGTTTTATGGATTATATATATATATATAACATACATGTTATTGGATACATTATAGTACATACATGTGATTGGATATATATATATATATATATATATATAACATACATGTTATATATATTTAAAAATATTTTTTCTTTATTTGTCCATTGATGGACACAGGTTGATTTCATATCTTTGCTATTGTGAACAGTACTGCAGTAAACGTAGGGTGAAGATATCCTTTTAATATTTATTTTCCCTTTGGGTACATACCCAGGAGTGGGATTGCTGGATCACATGGTAGTTCTATTTTTAGTTTTTTGAAATATTTCCATATTGTTTTCCATAGTGACTGTACTAATTTAAATCCCCTTTTATTCACATCCTTGCCAGAATCTATTTTTTTAAATAATAGTCATTTTAACTGGGTAAGATAATATCTCATTGTGTTTGATTTGCATTTTCCTGATGGTTAGTGATGTTGAGCAGTTTTTTTCATATACCTGTTGGCCATTCGTATGTTGTCTTTTGAGAAATGTCTACTCATATCCTCCTTAAAAAGTGGGCAAAGGAGATGAATTATTTATTTATTTATTTACTTACTTATTCATTTTTTTATGTACTGTTGAGTTGTTTGAGTTCCTCATATATGGATATTAGTCCCATGTTGAATGAATAGTTTACAAATATTTTCTCCCATTAAACAGGCAATGTCTTTACTCTGTTGATTGTTTTTTTGCTGTCCAGAAGCTTTTTAGCTCAAAATAGTCCCATTTGTCTATTTTTGTTTTAGTTGTCTGTGCTTTTGAGGTCTTAGCCATAAAATCTTTGCCTAGACCAATTTCCTGAAGTATTTTCCCTCTGTTTACTTCTAGTAGATTTATAGTTTCGAGTCTTGCCTTTAAGTTGTTAATCCGTCTTGCACTGATTTTGTATATGGTGAGAGATAAGGGTCAAGTTTCATTGTTCTGCATATAGATATCCAATTTTTCCAGCACAATTTATTGAAGAGGGTGTCTTTTCCCTCATGTATGTTCTTGGTGTCTTTGTTGAAAATCAGTTGCCTGTAAATATGTGGATTTATATCTGGGTTCTCTATTCTTTTCCATTGGTCTATGTGTTTGTTTTTATATCAATACCATACAGTTTTGATTACTATAACCTTGTAATATATTTTGAGGTCAGGCAGTGTGATACCTCCAGCTTTGTTTGTTTATTCGTTTTGCTCCGGATTGCTTTGTCTATTCAGGTTTGTTTTTGGCTCCATAAGAATTTTACGGTTGCTTTTGTATTTCTGTGAAAAATGTCATTGTTTTGATAAGGATTGCACTGGATCTGGAGATTGTTTTGGGGAGTAGGGTCACTTCAACAATATTTATTCTTCCTGTCCATGAGCATGGAATGTCTATTCGTTTCTGTCCTCTTCAATTTCTTTCATCAATGTGTTGTAGTTTTTCTTACAGAGGTCTTCTGTCTTCTTGGTTAAATTTATTCCTAAGTTATTTATTTTTTGTAGCTATTTGAGATTGGATTGCCTTCATTTCTTTCTCAGCTAGTTCATTATTGTTCTGTAGGAACTAGTGATTTTTGTATGTTGATTTTGTATACTGCAACTTTACTGAGTTCATCAGAACTAATGGTTTTTTGGTGGCATCTTATATTTTCTAGATAAAAGCTTATGTCATTTGTAAAGAGAAACAGTTTGACTTCCTGTCTTTCAGTTTGGAATCCTTTTATTTCTTTCTCTTGCCTGATTTCTCTGGCTAGGAATTCTAGCACTATGTTATGTTAAGTAGGAGTGGTGAAAGTGAGCATCCTTGTCTTGTTCCAATTATTAGAGGAAAGGCTTTCATCTTTTCCCCATTCAGTATGATGTTAGCTGTGGGTTTGCCATATATGCCTTTATTAAGTTGAGGTATGTTCCTACTATACCTAGATTATTGAGAATTTTTATCGTGAAGGGATGTTGAATTTTATCAAATGCTTTTTCTGTGTCCATTGAGATGATCATATGGCTTTTGTTTTTCACTCTTGATTTGATATATCACATTTATTGATTTGCATATGTACAACCATTTTTGCATCCCTGGGATAAATCCCACTTGATTATGGTATTTTCTTTAGATGTGCTGTTGAACTTAACTTGTTAGTGTTTTGTTAAGGATTTTTGCATCTCTGTTCATCAGGATATTGGCCTGTAGTTTTCTTTTTTGTTGTATTCTTGTCTGGTTTTGGTATCAGGGTAATGCTGACCTGGTGGAATAAGTTAGGGAGCATTCCCTTCTCTTCTATTTTTTTTGGGGGGTGGGAAGAGTTTGAGGAAAATTAGTGTTCTTTGTACGTTTTGTAGAATTTGGCAGTGACACCATCTGGTCCTGGACTTTTCTTTGTTGGGAGACTTTTTATTACTGATTCAATCTCACAACTCATTGTTAGTCTGTTCAGGTTTGCTATTTCTTCCTGATTCAATCTTGGTAGATTGTATGTGTCCAGGAATTTATTCATTTCCTCTAGATTTTCCAGTATATTATTGTATAGTTGTTCATAATAGTCTCTGATGATCTTTTATATTTCTGTGGTATCAGTTGTAATGTCTCATTTTTAATTTCTGATTTTGTTCATTTGGGTCTTCTCTCATTTTCTTGGTTAGTCTAGCTAGCAGTTTATCAATTTTGTTTATTTTTTCATAAAACTAACTTTATTTTGTTGATTCTTTGTGGGTTTTTTTAGTCTTTATTTTGTTTAGTTCTGTTCTAATCTTCATTACTTATTTCTTCCTACTGATTTTGTTCTTGCTTTTCTGGTTCCTTGATATACACTGTTAGATTGTTTATTTGAGATCTTTCTACTTTTTTGATGTAGGCGTTTATTATTTTAAGCTTTCCTTTTAGTACTAGTTTTGTTGTATCTCATAGGTTTTGGTGTTTTGTGTTTCCAATTTCATTTGCTTCTAGGATTTTTTTTATTTCTTCCTTAATTTCTTCCTGGTCTCAGTAGTCATTGAGGAGCAGGTTGTTTAATTTCCATGTATTTGTGCAGTTTCTAAAGTTCCTCTTGTTGCTGATTTCTACTTTTATTTCATTGAGATCTGAGAAGATACTTGATATGATTTCGATATTTAAAATGTGTTGATATTTTTGTGTCCTAACACATTATCTACTCTGAAGAATGTTCCATGTGATGATGAGAAGAATGTGTGTTCTCTAGCTGTTGAATGCAATGTTCTGTAAATGTCTGTTAGGTCCATTTGGTCTAAAGTTCAGTTTAAATCCTAGATTTCTTTGTTAATTTTCTGTCTAGATGATCCTACTGTTGCTGAGAGTGTGATGTTGATGTCTCCTACTATTATTGTATTTGAGTCTGTCTCTCCCTTTAGATCTAATAATATGTTTTATATATCTGTGTGCTCCGTTGTTGGGTACAATCATCCTCTTGCTGAATTGAAACTTTTATCATGTTATCATCTTCTTTATAAGCGGAAAGTTTAATCTGTTTACATTCAAGGTTATTATTGATATGTAAGGGCAAATTCAAGTCATTTCCTTAATTGATTTCTGTATTTTATTTTGTTTTATTTATTTATTTTTGAGACGAAGTCTCACTCTGTTGCCTAGGCTGGAGGGCAGTGACGCTATCTCGGCTCAGTGCAACCTCCGCCTCCCGGGTTAAAGCAGTTCTCCTGCCTCAGCCTTCCAAGTAGCTGGGATTACAGACGCCCGCCATCTCACCTGGCTGATTTTTGTATTTTTAGTAGAGACGAGATTTCACCATTTCGGCCAGGTTGGTCTCAAACTCCTGACCTCAGGTGATCCACCTGCCTCACCCTCCCAAAGTGCTAGGATTACAGGTGTGAGCCACTATTTCCGGCCTCCTTAACTGATTTCTGATTGCTTTGTATATCCTTTCTTCCTTTCTTTTTCTCTTATTGTTCATCATTGTGGTTTTGTAGTTTTCTATAGTGGCAACATTTGGATCCTTCCTCTTCCTTATTTGTGCATTTGCTCTACCAGTAGGTTTTATACTTTTGCATGCTTTCATGATGGTGGATATCATTCTTTTGCTTGCAGGTGTAGGACTACCATAAGCTTTTATTGTAGGCCCAGTCTTTTGGTGATTAGTACCTTCAACTTTTGCTTGTCTAGGAAAGACTGTATTTCTCCATCATTTATGGAGGGTAACTTTGCTGGGAAGAGTATCTTGGGCTGGCAGTTTTTTTTTTTTCAGCTCTTTGAATATATCATTCAGTTCTCTCCTGGCCAGTAAGGTTTTTGCTGAGAAATCAGCTGTTATTCTGACGGGGGGGGTGGTTCTCTTATAAGTGACTAGATGCTTATCTCTTGCTGTTTTTAGAATTTGTTCTTTGCCTCTCACTTTTGACAGTTTGACTCTAATGTGCCGCAGAGAAAACCTTTTTGAATTGTATCTATTTGGGGATTTCTGACCTTCCTGTATCTGTATGTCTAAATCTCTTACTAGACTTGGGAATTTTTTTTAGCTATTGTTCCACTAAGTAGGTTTTTGATCCCTTTCATTTATTCTTCATCTTCTGGGACACTGAAAATTCAAATATTTGTTTGCTTTATGGTGTCCCATGTGTGATGTAGTCTTGTTCACTTTTTTTTTTTTTTTTTGGAGACAGAGTCTCACTCTGTCACCAGGCTGGAGTGCAGTGGTGCAATCTTGGCTCATTGCAACCTCTGACTCCCTGGTTCAAGCGATTCTCCTGCGTCAGCCTCCTGAGTAGCTGGGATTACAGGCATGCACCACCACACCCAGCTAATTTTTGTATTTTATTTTATTTTACTTTTTTAAGTAGAGATGGGGTTTTACCATGTTGGCCAGGATGATCTCAATCTCCTGACCTCATTATCTGCCTGCCTCAGCCTCCCAAAGTGCTAGGATTACAGACGTGAGACACTACGCCTGGCCTGTTCATTCATTTTTATTCTTTATTCTTTATTTTTATCTGACTAGGTTATTTCAAAAGACCTGTCTTCAAGTTCTAAAATTCTTTCTTCTGCTTAATCTAGTTTATTGCTGAAGCTTTCAAATGTATTTTGTATTTTATTCAATGAAGTCTTCCATCCCAGAATTTCTGTTTGGTTCTTTTTTACGATATCTATCTTTTTGATAAATTTCTCATTCATATCCTAAATTGTTTTTCTAATCTCTTTGTATTGTTTATATGAATTTTCTTGTATATCACTGAGATTCTTTAATATCATTATCTTGAATTCTTTTTCTGGAACTTCATGAATGTCTTTTTCATTGGAATTTGTTGCTGGAGAATTATTATGTTCATTTGGAGGTGTAATATCTCTTTGTTTTATGTTTATTGTTTATTTACATTGATATTTGTGCATCTGGTATAACAGTCACTTATTCCAACTTTTTTGAATTTGCTTTTATAGGGGAGGACTTTTTCCTGAAGATGTATCTGTGGTGTTGGTTTGATGTAGCATTTTGCCTTTGATTCTGGATGAATACAGCAGTGTAGTCTCTGTATGATTTTTTTCATCTGTAAGTGTCAGTAGTGCTTGTAATTTCCTCAGTGGCTTAGGGTGTGGTTGTTAGTGGAGGTCATGGTAAAGTTTTGCTGGTGATGAGGATGCTAGGTGGGCCAGTCCTCAATCACTGGCAGGTGCTTGAGGTGGCAGTGGCAGGCTGAGCATGCCTGTCCTTTGGTCTTAGGGTGGTGTATGCTGGCCCTGATATTAGCAGGTTCAGTCAGGCCAGTTGGACCTCCAGGTGGCTTGCTTGGGTGCCAGCAGTGGAAGAAGTGGGCTGGGTGGCTGGGAGGGTCCTTAGGCTCCTAGGCAGTGGGCATCGTGCTGAGGGACGCAGTAGTAGTGGTGAGACAAGCCTTAGGCTCCCAAGTGGTTTGCGCTGGTGTTGCAGTGGCTATGACAGGCCACGCGGGGCAGTCTCAAGGCTTGCAGGTGGCATGGGTGAGTGGATGGTGTGGGTGGGTGGGTGCTAGCTGTGGTGTTAGCAGTAGGTTGGGTGGGTTTGTCCTCAGGCCCTCAGAAGGAGTGCTCAGGTGTCAATGGTGGTGAATGGGGCAGGGCCATTCCCAAGCCTCTGGGTGGTGGTCTTGGGCTCTGGGGGAGTGGGATGGGTTTTAACATGGTTAAATGGTCCTGTTCTCTGGCCCCTAGGTGGTACGTGTGGGTGCTGGCTGTGGTAAGTAGGATAGGGGTGGACCCCAGGTCCCCCCTACCCCTGGCAGAATAGCTGGATGGGGGTGGCAGCGACTGTGTGGTGGCCCTGAGGCCCTGCTGCTGGGGAGGGTGGAGTTACCATGGCAGCAGTTGTAAACAGGTGACTGGGGGAGCTTGTGCTGTGGCTCCATATGGCGGCTGCAAGAGGGGTGCCCCATCCTCAGGGTGCTCTTAAATGCACAGAGGCCTTGTTGCTAGGGGCAGCAGGGTCGTTGGCAAAGGCTTGTGCTTTGGCCCTGGCTGCGGTTGGAGGATATCAGGGGAGCCCCGGGGATGTGGAGATGCAGGGGCTATTGGGCCCCAGGCCAGGATGCAGTCTGGTGGGGGCTGACATTTCAAAACAGTGCCCTCCTGTAACTGCTTGTGACACAGCAGGTGAGTGGAACTCAGTGCGCGCTCCCTCTGGAGGGGTGCCGCTGCCTGATCTCCGGGTGGCTCCCAATGTTAGCCTCAGGGCCTGTGCAGGCCGCGGGGTTCTCCCATGGCTACGATTGCAGGAGTCTGTGGTGGAAATGTGGGCTGCTGGGGTCGCTCACTTAACTTTACCACATGAGGGAGCCTGGAGAACCTTAATCACATTAGAGAACCTCTCTAGCTCCCAGCCGATCCTGGCTGAGCAGACTGCCCCACTTCCCTCTTCTTCTTTGCCTCCCATGTTACCTGTCACTTATTTCTTGAATTCCAATGTTCTCTCTTATGTGATCTGTTTGACCTGTGATATCTACTCACTATTTCAGTTCTTGTTTGTGGAGGAGGCGAGTACCAGGTGCCTCTAGTCAGCCATCTTGAAACTCCCCTCTAACTTTTCCTTGGATTTTTGATAACTTCCCAGGTGATGATGGTGCCCATTTGTCCAAGGAACACACTTTGAGAACCACTGGACTAGAGTTTGGGAGATCAATCAGAAATCTTTTGCATTTATCTATGTAAGATAAAGTATAGAACTAAATGCTGAAAATAGAGTTAAGGAGGAGGGGTGGTTTCCGCAAATACAGAGCAGCTGTAATTGGCAGGACTTGATACCAGACCAGAGTATGCAGGTGAAGGGGAGGTAGGAGTCTTGACTGGTTTCTAGATTCCTAACATTGGTAGGTGGATGAAGAATAGTGGTACCTTTATCTCAATATATAGCATAAAGGAGAAGAAGCTGGCTGGTGGTGTTGGGGTGGAACTGATATGTGTGTCATTTTAGACATGTCAAATGGAGATTATGGGGACAATTTAAATAGAGATGTCTTTTCACGAAGTAGGAGACTGCCAAGTTGAAGATGCAGACATGTATGTCTCTACAGGAGAAATTATAGGTTATAATGTGATGAGAATAGGTTATAATGCGACGAAAATAAGATATAGAGAACAGAACTCTAGGATACGCAAATATTTAAGGTGAAATCAGAATAATTCATCTTCAAAAGAACTGAGAAGAAATGTTAGGAGCCCTGGAAGAGAAGTTACTACAAGGGTGTGATCAACATGTCAATACTATAGGGAGGTCGAATGATAGATGGATTGAAACATGCCTATTGCATTGAGAAACCAGAAGATGATAGAAAACCTTGATAAAAGCATTTTCATCAAGCAGCATGATTCAGCCCGGATTGCACTGACTTGTGGTTACAAACTGGTTTTCAGGACAGAGTATACACCTTCTGCTTCTCTGATATTAAATTCCTACTTTTTAAGCTCTTAAGAGGACAATGCTATGGATAGAAATACTTTGCTGTACTAATAGGCCCATATTCTAGTTTTAACCTCATCTTTCTAGGTGGAATTTAGAAAAATGTTTAGTTAACATTTAGAATCAAAATGTATATGTTGCTTTTTCTTTTGCAAAAGCAGCGCCTTTTGGGAGATATCGTGCCTTACCAAGAGGCTTTCAGAAATGATCAGGGCAGGGCCAGGCAGCAGTGGTTTATGCCTGTTATTTCAACACTTTGGGAGGCCGAGGTGGGTGGATCACCTGAGGTCAGGAGTTCGAGACCTTCCTGGCCAACATGGTGAAACTCGGTCTCCACTAAAAATACAAAAAAAAAAAAAAAAAATAGCTGGGCATGGTGGCATGCACCTGTAATCCCAGCTACTCAGGAGGCTGAGTCACGAGACTCACTTGAACTCAGGAGGCGGAGGCTGCAGTGAGCCGAGATCGTGCCACTGCACTCCTTCCTGGGTGACAGAGTGAGACTCCATCTCAAAACAAACAAACAAACAACGACAACAAAAAAGATCAGAGTGGTTTTCGTGGTTGGTCCTTCTGAAAGTGTTATGTTTTATTCCTCACCCCCATCCGTGCTGGGGCACCCAGAGTGCTATTATTGCTATTAAGAATATTGTTTTACTCTGTGACTTTGTGTAACAGTTGGGTATGATTATTTTATTACTATCCTGATTGACCCAACTTAAACCATAAGGGAAGACAGGGTACAAAGATGCAATAGCTGTTAGAGCAGCTGTCACTTCTGGTAATTTGACTATAACCACTTTCTTTCCTTTTCCTCCAGTGTTTTTCTAAGCAGATTTAAAACAAAACACTGGGAGTAAATAGAAAATGCTGCCCCTCACACGATCAGGCCTGGGATAAGTTTCATAAGCAGAATTTCCTGGTGATGCTGTTGTCTGGAAAACATGGTCAAAAAATATCTATCTGTTCTGTAACAGCCTTCCCACCTCTGTTTTAGGAACCCTTCGCATGGGATCGTGTGCCCTGATTCTTTAAGACTTGCTGGAAATCCAGACTTGAGATTGTGCTGATGCAGCCCTTTTAATTTGATGCTTGTATCCCTCTGTTAATTAGTAGGAAAGTTCTCCCCAAAATGTGGGTCAAATGCAGAATGAGAGGAACTTCCAGTAAAATAGTGAGCTTTCTATGTGACCCAAGTGAAAGCACTTTTTTAAAAAAATTTTTCATGACACAACCAAACTAATCTAGCAGATTCTCTATGTGTGTACTTTTATTTTGCGCTTCACTTGCTGACGTGTTTGAAGTTTCAGTGTGTCAAGGCTCCACATTGAAAGAAAAAAGAACACTTCAAATCTCAGGCTGCAAATGATCATATGTGTAATTGTGATTTTACAGAGACCAGACTAATTTCCTAGACCATTAGAAATTTTACTTGTTGACAGATCAGGCTCTCAAAAGACTGGTTAAAAAACATGTCTTTGAGGCTGATGGTGAATAATGGGGGAAAATGGTGGATTTTGAAGATTTATGATATAAAACCCAAAAGCTCTCTTCAAACATTAAAAAAAACACTGTTTTGAATACTTTAGGTAATGACGTGAGATCTTTTCTCTGAATTTGTTCTTCATTTAGGATTTTTTAAAATGCTAGTAAGCATATTGGAGTTCAAATTAACATTTTCCCCTTTTACTTTCTTTCTCGAGCAGGTTGTCAAGTTATTAAGCAACAAAAGATCACAAGCAGTTGGAATACTAATGTCTAGCCTTCATTTAGATATGAAAGACATACAACATGGTAAGTGTCAAAATGAAAATTTAGCTTCTGAATATTAAAATTTGGGCTGAGGGATATGATGTTTGTTGGTAATGTTATTTCAAACTTAGAGTTTCTGTGTAAACCGAGGTTAGTATATATCCCGTAAGTGTGATCAAGCTATCTCCCATGATTGTTTCTGGAAGGATTACTATTAATTTGCCTGTGGTGTTATTTATATACCTTACTAACAGTCTAATTATCATGTGACATTATTATCTTAGTTCAGGCTACTATAACCAAGTACCCCAGACTGGTGGGTGATAAATAAGAGAAATTTATTTCTCACAGTTCTAGGAGGCTGAAAGTTCGAGATCAGGGTGCCAGCATATTCGGTTCTGGTGAGGGCCGTCTTTCAGGTTGCAGACTGCCATCTTCTCCATGTATCCTCAATTGGCAGAAAGAAGGAAAGAGAGCTCTCTTGTGTCTGTTTTATAAGGGGACTGATCCCACGCACGAGAATTCTACCCTTGTGACCTAATGACCACGCGACCTAGTGACCACCACCTAGGATCCTGTCTCCTTGTACCTTCACATGGGAGTGAGGTTTGCAACATATGAACAGAAATATTTTCTGTTTGGAATTAGAGTGGTTCTTAACATTTTATAAATGGCTTTAGTGTCAATATTTTAATACTTGGATTCTACTGTACAATTGACGGCCATTCTTATGCCATATCCTCCTATGATATTTATGCTGAGAGATACTGCCCAAAGGTGAATAGAGTAATGAAGTGTAAATTCAGAGTGTCCCTTAAGCTGACTAGAACCTAAGAATAGATTTAAAGCAGATTGAATTATCCAATGGAATGCCAGTTTACCTATTAAAGAAATATGGTTTCAAGAATAACACAGACCTTATAATCACAAAAGCATTTAACTGGCTTTCTAGCTTACCCCTTTATGAATGTGGATTCTATTTGTTGGGCTTAAAATCTTGTGTGGGATAATTCATAAATAGCACAAGCTTGGTATGCCCTGTCAATTGATGAGTAACTCTTAATCACAATTTAAGTTTTTATTAAATTGTTTTGATGGGGAGGAGACTTCCTCAAGCTGAAACATTTGGGGTAATAGTCATAGAAGAGAAAGCCAAGGCTGGCGCCAGGCAGTACTTGGTGTTTCTAAAGCTGGCAGATGTAGCCCAGTTAAGTCATAGGATGAAATCTGAAAATAATGATATGGTTCTTTCCTTCAGTCAAATATTCAACTCGGGTTGAGTTGATAATGAGAACCTTATGAACAAGAGTCCGCCTGACATCTGTGTCTGTGGTAAAGCCAGTGAGAGTTCATTGAAAATTTGCTTGCTTTAACATGCAACGCTAGCAATAACATGGCATGAAAGGCAGTAGTTGAAGGGTCATACAGAATCATGCAGAAACTTTATCCCATTAGGATGTGAAGTGATTGCTTTAGTCCCTTTGAAACCCTGTACACTTTTTTTTTTTTTTTTTTAATATGGTGGCCTTCCAAGTCTAAAGCAGCAAGAGGTTGTGCCCTCCTGCAGGTAAAGTCCTATTCTGCCTTGGTGTATTGTCTGCAAACAGGATTTACATGTGTGAATCGCTTGTGTCCTCTAGAGCAAACTTGACTTCTCTCAGGATATGCCTCCACTGAGAAGTCCACAGAAGCATAAACATCATTGATTTTGGATATAGAAGTGGCCACAGAATTTATCTAGACCTCCAGCGTCATTTTTAAAAAATACTTTTTATTTCCATAGGTTTTTGGGGAACAGGTGGTATTTGGTTACATGAGTAAGTTCTTTAGTGGTGATCTGAGATTTTGGTGCACACATCACCCAAGCAGTATACACTGAACCCAATTTGTAGTCTTTTATTCCTCACCCCCTCCCACCCTTCCACCAAGTCCCCAAAGTCCATTGTATCACTTTTTATGCCTTTGCATCCTCATAGCTTAGCTCTCACTTATGAATGTGAGAACATACAATGTTTGGTTTTCCATTCCTGAGTTACTTCACTTAGAATAATAGTCCCCAGTTCCATCTAGGTTGCTGTGAATGCCATTAATTCGTTCCTTTTTATAGCTGAGTATTATTTCATCATATGGAATATGCCACAATTCTTTATCTACTCGTTGATTGATGGGCATTTAGGCTGGTTCCATATTTTTGCAATTGTGAATTGTGCTGCTATAAACATGCACGTACAAGTATCTTTTTCGTACAATGGCTTCTTTTCCTCTGGGTAGATATCCAGTAGTGGGATTGCTGGATCCAATGGCAGTTCTACTTTTAGTTATTTAAGGAATCTCCACACTGTTTTCCATAGTGGTTGTACTGGTTTACATTCCCACCAGCAGTGTAGAAATGTTCCCGTTTCACTGCATCCATGCCAACATCTATTATTTTTTTATTTTTTTTTAATGTGGCCATTCTTGCAGGAGTAAGGTGGTATCACATTGTGGTTTTGATTTGCATTTCCCTGATCATTAGTGATGCTGAGCATTTTTTCATGTTTGTTGGCCATTTGTATATCTTCTTTTGAGAATTGTCTATTTATATCCTTAGCCCACTTTTTGATGGAATTGTTTGTTTTCTTCTTGCTAATTTGTTTGTGTTCCTTGTAGATTCTGGATATTGGTCCTCTGTCAGATGTATAGATTGTGAAGACTTTCTCCCACTCTGTGGGTTGTCTGTTTACTCTGCTGACTATTCCTTTTGACACGCGGAAGCTCTTTAGTTTAATTAAGTCCCAGCTATTTATCTTTGTTTTCGTAGCATTTGCTTTGGGTTCTTGGTCATGAAGTCTTTGCTTAAGCCAATGTCTAGAAGGGTTTTCCCAAAGTTATCTTCTAGAATTTTTATAGTTTCAGGTCTTAGGTTTAAGTCCTTGACCCATCTTGAATTGATTTTTGTATAATGTGAGAGATGAGGATCCAGTTTCATTCTCCTACAGTGTCTTGCCAATTATCCCAGCAGCATTTGTTGAATAAAGTGTCCCTTCCTCACTTTATGTTTTTGTTTGCTTTGTCAAAGATCAGTTGGCTGTAAGTATTTCACTTTATTTCTGGGTTGTCTGTTCTGTTTCATTGTTCTGTGTGTCTATTTTTATACCAGTACCATGCTGTTTTGGTGACTATGGCCTTATAGTATAGTTTGAAGTCAGATAATGTGATGCTTCCAGATCTGTTCTTTTTGCTTAGTCTTTCTTTGGCTATGTGGCATTTTTATCGATAGGCAAAATAAGACCTGTGAGTGGTCCAGTTACCCTCTCAGTATCACGCAGCTCATTAATGAAATGGATTGAACTTGCACTCAGGCCCCTTCATTAACCAGTACTTTTTTTTTTTTCATTCAGACATGCTGCTTCTCCAAGATTGTGCTTTTTTTTTTTACCACCAGCATTGGTTTATCTAAAACAAAGTATATGTAATATTGTAATAAACAGCAAGAATCATTTTCTCTCCTTCTTTGCTGTCAGTACTCTAGGTTTTCATTTACTTTGTAATGTTTATATTTCAAAGTGCTCCATTAGAGTAATTAGTGTGTAAGGTTTGGATTCTAGGTATCAAAGTTCTAACCCTGGTCCTGCTGAGCACCACTTGCTCAGTCTGTTATTTGAATACAGGTTATTTCCCACAATAATAGATGTGGAGCATTCTCAGCAACACATACATTCAAAAGGCAGAGAGGAGAGAAGAGGTCAGGTTCCTAAGTTTATTAATGCGGCAAATATAAGGGGGCATCCCCAAATAATTACCTGTGTGTGTGTTAGTATATAAAAGTTATAATGAAGGCCTGAGCTGCTGGCTATTTGGTAATGTTCAAACTGGCCTACAGTTATAATACCTCTGAAAAAATCTCACCCTGTGGTTTATAGTAATTTGAAGTCTGAGATGAAAGTGCCTTCCAGAGAAGATTTACCCTTTTTGTGTGTGTGCTAGGGTCTGGGGGCCCTGTGGATTTAGGAACACCTTGAATCACACTCTGGGGGCTGTAGGAGGGTCCCTTCAGCCAGTGCTGTTTGTCCACTGAATGGGTTGGTTCCCCTGCCAGTATAGCCCTTTTTTTTAATTATTATTATACTTTAAGTTCTAGGGTACATGTGCACAACCAGTATAGTCCTTTGAGTCCCATTTCATTGTGGGGTATGTCTAGGATCTCTATGATGAGTGGGTTCTGGGCTTTGATATTTGGCCCCTCCCACCGTGAAACTGTCAAGAGAAAGTTGACATTTGTTAGGATAGGCAAATACACTCAGGGCAAAAGCAGTTTGTGAGCTGGATCACTTCTCTGAGTTCGCTCTTCATTTTGTTTAGCATGGTAATTATATCTTGTCAGCTCTTTGACGTCCTTATGATATTTTACAAACATGTTTTACTCAGCATTTTTAGTTGTTGTTAGTGGGGGGATTGATTTCAAATAATTTTGGCCTGTTATTCCCATAAATTGATATTATAAGAGTATCCTACAGCTTCATAGTGGTAGTTCACTTCTGTGAAAATTGATTAAATATTTTATACAATGTTTGGTCTGTATTTCAGGGGTCAGTGTGCTCTTCACAGATCTTAGGTCCATTTTCATAGATAACAGTAGCTGCAAAAGAATTTGCAATTCCATAAGCTTCAGCTTTATCCCCCAACAATGTCACGGTTAGATAGAAATACTAACTGGGATGCTTTAAGAGTAGAAGGGGATGTCATTGATAATATTGCCTGGATAACAAATGTAAAGTGAAAACTTTTACTTTTTTTTTTTTTTTTTTTTGAGACAGAGTCTCACTCTGTCATCCAGGCATAGTTCAGTGGCGCAATCTCAGCTCACTACAATCTCCGCCTCCCAGGTTCAAGCAATTCTTATCCCTCAGCCCCCCGAGTAGCTGGGATTACAGCCACCTGCCACCACGCCCAGCTAATTTGTGTTTTTAGTAGAGACAGGGTTTCACCATGTTGGCCAGGCTAGTCTCAAACTCCTGACCTCAAGTGATCCACCCGCCTCAGCCTCCCAAAGTGCTGGGATTACAGGCGTGAGCCACCTCACCCATCCCCAAGAACTTTTCAGATAAGCTAGTAGTATTGTCACCCTACTACCAGATCGAACTGAAGCAAGTTTCAGACTGAACCCTCCCCCACACACAGATATATATTACACTGGTATTTCCTGGCCATCTCAAGCAAAATAGTTTGAAAACCCTGCTTCATAAACTTGAGGTTGTTTACCTCTCTGTCTTTATAGGGGCTCTCACTGTGATCTATCTGAAAGGTTTGCTTCAGACAGATATAAGCTTGGCACAGATGTAGGAATCTGCTACCCTCATAGTCTGCACGAGACATCTAGAAAGTCAACTCAGCCAGTGGCTGCACCCAGTACTGTTTAGGTCCTAGGCCTCAGGCAGCCTCCTTAAAGAACAAAGCTATTAGCCCCCAGTAGACTCTTATTCTAGCTATGGAAGAGGTAGGAGTGGAGCATCTCTAAGAGATTGCAACTAATCCACACATCCAGAATGACTTTAATTTCACCATTGAAAGCCCATTTCAGACATTAGTATGCGTATTAAAGCCTCGGTTGTTGATTTAGATAGAGATAGCTGAGCAGCTTGCGTTAACTGCCTCTGGAGAATGGCCTTTCTTGCGTAGTGCTGGTCAGCCATCCCTGAGGTGTGGTCTCTTAGACACTCCCTCTGCAAAAATATTTGAAAATAGATTACAGATCTCATCACAAGGAATACCTAATATCTATTTAGTAGTCTGACACGTTAAACTTACGGAAACACGTTTCAATATACTGCAGGGATACCCAGCCCAGGGTATGAATGGCTCTGATTCCTTCCTGTCTTTTATATATGTCCTGTCTAAAGCTAACTGGAATTATGGGCCCTTGGCAGTAAATGCTATGTTACCTCCTTGCTGAAATTTCTATCCTGTTTAAACATGATTTATGAAAATCATATATCTTAAAATTTAATGAGATAATAATGTAAACTACCTAGCATTCCATCAGAAGTACAGTTGATACAGTCAATAAAATTGTAGTTATTTTTATGTTTTAATTTCTGAGCCTAATGATTGCTTTCCCAAACAGTTTATTTAAATTATATAGTTAAGGGTACCTTACAAGGACAATGCACAGGCTCTTAGATTTCAATTAGAAATGCCAGTGAGATCTCAGTGTTAATTATGACTTCTCATTGGAATCATGTCATGTTGCTGCTGTTTTGGTCTGCCATTGTCCTCCCTCAAAAGGGTCCAAAGCTGAGAAGCCTTATTCTGATAATTGTTTGGGAAGAAATTGTCCTAATGTAGCAGGTACCAAAAAGAGAACCGGTATTGGCATACAGGATACATATTCTTTTTTAAATTTGTTTATTTATTTTTATTTTTTTATTATACTTTAAGTTCTAGGGTACATGTGCAGAATGTGCAGATTTGCTACATAGGTATATACATGCCATGGTGGTTTGTTGCACCCATCAATCTGTCATCTACATTAGCTGTTTCTCCTAATACTATCCCTCCCTTTGCCCCCTACCCCCTGACAGGTCTTGGTGTGTGATGTTCCCCTCCTTGTATCCATATGTTCTCATTGTTCAACTCCCACTTATGAGTGAGAACATGTGGTGTTCAGTTGTCTGTTCCTGTGTTAGTTTGCTGAGAATGATGGTTTCCAGTTTCACCTATATCCCTGCAAATGACATGAACTTATTCTTTTTTATGGCTGCATAGTATTCCATGGTGTATATGTGCCACGTTTTCTTTAACAGGTTACCTGTTCTAAGATCTTTTATAATCATATCTTTTTATTAGTATTTGAAGAGATGGAATTAGCTATTGGTTTGAACTTTGCTTCTTCCGCCTCCTTCCCTCTGATATTATTGGTGATAGTTGTGTAAAATTGTCCAGAAGAGGGGAGTTAATTCCCACTTTATAGTAGGGGGAATTCAGGTTTATAGATGGAGTCTGCCTAGTTCTTTATCTCCATAGGGCCAGAATGGGCATCCAATTTTTTTGAGTCCTAGCTCAGGGCTCTCTGCTCTGGGCAGTGTGTTAGCTTGTTACTGAATGAAGCATGTGTTACCTAATAAAATCAGAATGCGCAACATATGCAAAAATAAAACTGGCAAACAGGCATACTACTTTTGGCTACCAGTTGTTTCATTTTTACAGTTGAAAATAAATTTATCAGACTTCATTTATTATGTGTCATATAATACAAATTTTGCAGTTTGCATATTGACTATGAAATTTTTTCACATCTGTGAATTAAATGAGGATAAAATTCTTTTAACAAAATTATTAACAGAGTTCCTTGCTCTTGATTGAACCAAGCAAAGAATGAAATACACTTATATGCCACATAACAACATTTTGGTCAACAACAGACCATGTATGTGATGGTGGTCCCATAACATTATAATGGGGTTGAAAAATTGCTATCACCAAGCTAGTTTGTAGTGTATCACATTACTTTTTCTAGGTTTAGATATGTTTCAATACACAAATGCTTATTATTGTAAGAGAGTTCTCACCAGTGACTGAGTCAGCTGGCACCTTGATCTTAGACTTCCCAGCTTTCAGAATTATGAGAAAATATATTTCTGTTTAAGCACCCCAGTTTGTCATATTTTGCTATGGCAGCCCAAGCTGTCCAAGACAGATTTGAATCTCAGCTCTGCCACTGGCTGGCTGAATAAACCTGGGCAAATTACTTTATATCTCTAGTCCTCAGTTTTCTCATTAGTTCAAAAGGCTATTGAGTTCTGATTGTACACACACCTGCACCCATATTAAGCACTTAATCAATGTTAGTTTCCTTCGTGTGTTTCTTAGGAAATGACCTATGTCTGTAGGCTTTGGAGGTGTTTGAAACTTAGGGCAACCAGTAAGAGAGATAACTTAAAGGGGTTTGTTTTTTTTTTTTTTTCCTTTTTTCATTGCCCTGAACAGACTCTGTGATAAGTCTTTGTCCATGGGACAAAAGGAGGGTGTAGAATCCAGAATCTGTTACTTCCTTTTTTTTTTTTTTAATAAATCAACTATTATTTTTGATTCAGGGGTACATGTGTAGGTTTGTTATCTGGGTATATTGCATGATGCTAAGGTTTTGGGTTTGATTGATCCTCTCACCCAGGTACTAAGAAGAGTACTCAATAGTTAGTTTTTCAATCTTTGTCCCTTTCTCCCCCATCTAGGAGTCCCCAGTGTCTATTGTTGCCATCTTTATGTCCATGTGTACCCAATGTTTAGCTCCCAGTTATAAGTTAGAGCTAGTGGTGAAGGTTTTTGGGGGGGTCCAGTTTCATTCTTCTACAAATGGGTAGCCACCTAGCACCATTTATTAAATAGGGAGTCCTTTCCCCATTGCTTATTTTTATTGAAGATTGGATGACGGTAGATGTGTGGCTTTATTTTTATTTTTGGATTCTCTATTCTTTTCCATAGGTCTTTTCCATGTGGTGTTTGCTTTTCTGTTCCTGCCTTAATTCACTTACATAGCCTCCAGCTGCATCCATGTTACTGCAAAGGACATGATTTTGTTTGTTTTTTGGCTGTGTAATGTTCCGTGGTATATATGTACCATGTTTTCCTTATCCAGGCCACCATTGATGCACACCTAGGTTGATTCTAAATCTTTGCTATTGTGTATAGTGCTGTGATGAACATATGAGTGCATGTGTCTTTTTGGTAGAACAATTTATTATTACAGAGACCAAAACAGCATGGTACTGGTACAAAAAGACACATAGACCTATGGAGAAGAATAGAGAATCCAAAAATAAAGCCACACATCTACAGTCATCCAATCTTCAATAAAATCAATAAAAATAAGCAATGGGGAAAGGACTCCCTATTTAATAAATGGTGCTAGATGGCCAACCATTTGTAGAAGAATGAAACTGGACCCCCAAAAAACCTTCATCACATATAAAAATTAACTCAAGATGGATTAAAGAGTTAAATGTAAGACCTCAAACTGTAAGAGTCGTACAAGAAAACCTAGGAAATACCATTCGGGATATTGGCTTTGGCAAATAATTTATGACTAAGTCCTCAAAAGTAATTGCAGCAGGAACAAAAATTGACAAGTGGAACCTAATTAAACTAAAGAGCTTCTGCACAGCACGAGAAACTCTCCACAGAGTAAACGGACAACCTACAGGATGGGAGAAAATATTTGCAAACTATACATTCCACAAAGGTCTTTTATCCAGCACCTACTAATACAAGAAACTTAAACAATTCAACAAGCAAAAAATAAATAGCCTCATGAAAAAAATGGTCAAAAGATGAAGCCATAAAAAAAAATGAGATCATGTCCTTTGCAGGGACATGAATGGAGCTGGAGGCCATTATCCTTAGCAAACTAACACAGGAAAAGAAAACCAAATACCGCATGTTCTCACTTAAAAGTGGGAGCTTAATGACGAGAACACGTGGACACATAGAGGAGAACAAAACACACTGGGGTCTTTCAGAGAGTGGAGGGTGAGAGGAGGGAGAGGATCGGGAAAAATAACTAATGGGTACTAGGCTTAATACCTGGGTGATGAAATAATCTGCACAACAAACCCTCATGACACAAGTTTACCTATGTAGCAAACCTGCACTTGTACCCCTGAACTTAAAAAAAAAAAAAAAAGAGACCTGCAACTTTAATTAAAACAACATATAACAAAATGAATTTTGCTATAGGCTAATTGATATAAACAAGAGTTAAGTTCATATGGCATATTTCTGGTCACTTTTAAATAAAGACCCCAAACACTTATAATATTAAACACTGAAGTAAATGTGAGCTATACATACATTTAATAAAGACTAATTTTTAAAGATGGGTAAAAGGTGTGAACACACACTTCTCAAAAGAAGACATACAAGTGGCCAACAAACATACGAAAAAATGTTCTACACCACTAATCATCAGAGAAATGCAAATCCAAATCATTATGAGATACCATTTTACACCAGTCAGAGCAACAGATACTAGCGAGGCTGTGAGAAGAGGGAACACTTATATACTGTTGGCAGGGGTATAAATTAGTTCAGCCACTGTGGAGAACAGTGTGGGGATTTCTGAAAAAAACGTAAAACACAACTCTCATTAGACCCAGTGATCTCATTACTGGGTATATATCTAAAAGGAACTGTTACTTCTGATTGAGTTGGGAGTGAGATAAGAGGGAAGAAATGGGAGTTAAGTTCAAGGGGAACATGTCTGAGGCAGATTTGATTGTTTTGTAGTTTGGCTTTTATTTTTCCGTCAGTTTTCAGTAAACTAGCTGAAATGCTTTTTAATACTGGGCTGTACCCATTTCTGATTTTTGAGTACAGATAAGTATGAGAATTATCTAACAGCTCTTAGAAGTTGAGCATGACTACATGTTTGGACTGTTTTATCTGCAAGGAGGACAACTTGTTTTGGAAACTTGAAAGGCTAAAATCTCCCCTAACTGTGTGGCTTCTTAAACATTGTCTCTGTGCTGTGAGAGTCAGCCATATTCTATATTAATTACTGTTGGCTCTGTAAAGCATGTGAAGGTAGTGGGGGAAGAAGTTTAGCTTTGTTGGGGAAATGAATATTGGTGTGGGCCATGAGTAGAATCTAAGTAGAGACATAGACAGATGCTTTTATTTCTTGCTTTGACATTTTATTTTTCCTGATAGTTAAACTAGTTTCTAGCTATGAATATAAAGTATAAGAACACTTTCATCTTTTTTTGCTGATGGCCATTCTAACAGGTGTGAGATAGTATCTCATTTTGGTTTTAATTTACATTTCTCTGATTAGTGATGTAGAGCATTTTTTCATTTATCAGTTGGCCATTTGTATGTCTTCTTCTGAGAAATGTCTGTTCAGATCCTTTGCCCATTTTCAATAGGGTTATTTGCCTTTCTGTTATTGAGTAGTTTGTTATATATTTAGACATATAAATATATTAGATATTAGCCCCTATTCAGTGCATGATTTGCAAATATTTTCTCCCAATTTGTGGTTGTCTCTGCACTCTATTGTTTTGTTTGTGTGCAGAAGCATTTTGATTTGATGCCATCCCATTTGTCTATTTTCTACTTTCATTGCCTGTGCTTTTGGGTCATATCCGAGAAATAATTGCCCTGACCAATGTCATGGAACCTTTCCTAACCCCTGTGTTTTCTTCGAGTAGTTTTATAGTTTTAAGTCTTTAATTCCTTTTGAGTTTATTCTTTTATGAAGGATGAAATAAGGATCTATTTTCATTTTTGTGTATATATAGATGTACAGTTTTAATAACACCTTTTATTAAATAGGCTGTCCTTTCCCCATTCTGTGTTCTTGACACCTTTGTTGCAAATCAATTGACTGTAGTTAGCTGGGTTTATTTCTGGACACTCCATTCTATTCCACTGGACGATGTGTCTATTTTTATGCCACCACCATACTGTTTTGATTACTATAGCTTTGTAATATATTTTCAAATCTGGTTGTGTGATTTCTCTGGTTTTGTCCTTTTTGATCAAGATTACTTTGGCTATTTGGTTTTTTTTGTGGTTTCAAATAAATTTTAGGATTATTTTTTCTATTTCTGTGAAGAATGACACTGGAATTTTGATTGGGATTACATTGAATCTGTAGATTGCTTTAGGTAGTATGGCCATTTTAACAATATTGAGTCTTCCAATCCATAAACACAGCATATCTTTCCATTTATTTATGTCGTCTTCAATTTTTTTCATCAATGTTTTATTGTTTTCAGTGTACAGATTTTTCATTTCCTTGGTTAAATTTTCTCCTAAGTATTTTTTGATGCTATTATAAATGGAACTGTTTTCTTTTTTCTTTTTCAGACTGTTGTTAGTGTATAGAAATGCTTCTGATTTTTATAGGTCGACTTTTGTATCCTGCAACTTAATTGAATTTATCAGTTCTAACAGTTTTTTGATAGAGTCTGTAGGATTTTCTATATACAAGATTATGTCATCAGCAAGCAGAGGCAATTTCATTTCATCCTTTTCTATCTGAATGCCTTTTATTTATTTTTCTTGCCTAATTGCTCTGGCTAGGATGTCCAGTACTATGTTGAACAGATGTGGTGAGAGTAGGCGTCCTTGTCTTGTTTCTGATCTTAGAAGAAAAGCTTTCAACTTTTCACCATTGAGTATCCTGTTAGCTCTTGGCTTATCATATATGGCCTTTATCATATTAAGAAACATTCTGTCTATACCCAATTTGTTGGGAGTTTTTATCATGAAACGAGTTTGCCAAGGATGTGGGGAAAAGAGAACTCTTCCATACTGTTGGTGGAATGTAAGTTAATATAGCCATTGTGGAAAACAGTGTGAAGATTTCTCAAAAAATAACAATAGAATTTCCACATCATCCAGCAATTTCACTACTGGGTATATACCCAAAGGGAATGACTTCAGTATGTCTAAGAGATGTCTATACTTCTATGTTCATTGCAGCATTATTACCAATAATCACACCTCGGATAAACCTCATTGGCTTCAGTAGTACTGCAACAGCACCTCATTGGCTTTGATAACTGCCACAGCACAAAGCTAATTGTATTATTATTCACAAGAGCCATGAAATGGAAACAACCTAAGTGTCCATCAACAGATGATTGCATTAAAATATATAATATATATATACACAATGAAATACAATTAAAAAACTAGGTAATTCTGTCATTTGTAACAACATGGACAAACCTAGAAGACATTATGTTAAGTGAAATAAGCCAGGGACAGAGAGACAAAATCTCTACGATCACATTTATATGTGGAATCTAAAAAAGTCAAAGTAATAGAGGTAGAAAGTAGAGTGGTGGTTACTAGAGGCTGAGGGGACAGGATGGATGGGGAAAGGGGAGACTTGGTCAGTGGGTACAAAGTCTCATTTAGATAGGAGGAATAAGTCCTGCTGGTCTATTGCACAGCATGGTGACTATGGTTAATAATAATGTATTGTATATTTCAAAATAGCTAAACAAGAGGGTTTAAAATATTTGAGATGATGGATATGTTAAATAAATAATTAAAGCACAAGAACACTTCTTTAAAAATCTGCAAATAACCCTTTGACCCCCCTAGGAACTTTCCACGATGGTTTTTTTTTTTTTTTTTTTGTGACTCTGTTTGCATGTATTTGGATAGCCTACACATTTGCACTTCTTTTATCCTGTTGGGGTTGCCACTGAATCATGGTTTTCTTATGAAATTTCCTATGGAACAAGTTGTACATTACAAACTCCAGGTCCTTTTCATAGAGTCTGGCTTCATTCTTGGAGACACAGGCTTTTTCGCTTCCCTATTAATTACCATAAGAAAGTTCATTCATCATCATTTGTTTATTTTTGTAATAGTCTCAAAAATTAGGCTCAGTGTGAGCAATGTTGTTTTTCCCCACTAGGCTTTTCAGTGTCTGATTTTTTTTTTTTTTTAATGAAACTCAAGCTTATAAGGCTTGCTTAGAAATTGCTTCATGCCCCCATTTTTTTAAACCTTTTTTTTTAAAGTGTTTTCCTCACATGGGATATAGAATTTTAAGACCTGTTTATTATATTTATTGAGACATTAAAAATGTACTAAATGCTGTTGGGAGGTTTAGTGAATGGTTTTCATTGAAATGTAAAGTCATTGAGAATTAGAAATTTGAGAAGAAAGTAGGCTCCAGTGAGCCTGTGTAACCTTTTCATCAATTGTAGCCTTGTAGTGGAGAAAAGTACATGTGAGATACTAGGCTTTCATAAAAACCTACTCTCAGAAATTTAATATGAGAATTTGTTTTAATTTAAAATATAAGTTCATTACCTAGAGCTTTTTATAAAAAGAAATACCTCATATGTCTTTTGAAATCACACATAAATTATTAGATCAAGGTCAAATGAATTATAATGTCTTTTACTACAAGTTCAGCAAAAAACTTGGGTTGAGCTTAGATTATATTTTTAATGACATTGTTCCATAGTTGGACTTTTTGATTATACTTCTATGGGAAGAAAGAATGCAATACTTGGGGTTGTACCAAAGCCATGAGCTTTGCATATGGTTATTCTTTTCCCTCATTGTACTTACTGTCTGAATTGAGAATCATGTATTTGTTTATTTGTTTGTTTGTTTTGGCCAACCTCTTGACCCTCACTAGGAGGGTGACTCTGTGAGCCTGAAGACAGCCCACTGCAGCTCAAGGCCTTCCTCCCCATAATGTTGCATCTGTTCTTTAAGATCAGTGGGTGACTGCGAATGGAATTGTCCAGGACCACATGGAGCATGCATGGAGGTAGAGCCCAAGTTTGACCACAGAGCACTTAGTGTGAGCCCATAATTAATCACATCAACTTTGACCCTTGAACTACTTTGTGTAAAAGGTGTGGTTTTTGCAAAAAGATTCCTTTGGCATAATCCTTGAGAGGGGTCGGATTGGCACTGTTATTTTGGGGCAAGGGGAAGCCCCTTTCATAAGTAGAGTTATGTTTGTATTTCAAAATTGGCTGATTGAAAGTTCTTTGTGTTTTGACAAGCACTTCTCCAGCATCCCTAAGTGGATACTCTCAGGATGCTCCCTGGCCACCTTTATCCAGTTGGATGAAGTGAGGATTCTGAGAGTTCTGGAGAAGATGCAATAATTGACACTTTTCACCTTTCCCTTATGGAGCCGCATGTGTCCTATTCTTGTGAGGTATATTCTACAAATATAATCATAGTCCTTCCTCTCAGCTCAGTGTGCCGAGACATCAGCTAAAACATCAAAGTCATGTGATGACATGTTATCTTTTGGCATGGCTGAAGCAATGACATTTCGTGCTGTTGACTATCTTGCATCTTCTTTCACGGTCAAACATGAATACAGCGAGATCTTTATTTTCTCAGCCAAATACCTCTGACTACATTTTTACATTAAACAATTTAAATCAGATAATTATATGCACGTGATTAAGAAAATAAGTTGTATAGAAAGGCCTATAATGGAAAAAGCACAGTTTCCAAATCTCCGTAAGAACTTTGTCACTTCTCCGATAGATTATAAAGGAAAGAATTGTTCCCTTGCTTTAGCCACTAGAGCATAATAGCAGGCTCATTTGAGGAAATGGTGGAACTTAAGAGGAGGGTTCTCTATCATTGTCAAAAACAGCATGAAATTCTTATGAATTAAGTTGTAAAGAGAATTTCTGAATTGAGGAAGACATTGAAATAGATTGTCTGCAAGATTCCGATTAATGCTATTTTTATGGTTCCAAATTTAAGATAGACAATAGCTGATCATAATAGGGAACACTTACAGACATTACTATGCAAAGACTTGCAACAACTGTATGAGGCAGGTGTTTTTATCTCCATCTTCAGGATGAAAGAACTGAGGCATAGAGTAGTAAAAGAAACTTAATTAGCAGGTGGTGGGGCTATGATCTAAACACAGGCATTCTGGGTCCAGGTCCATGCTCTGAACCTCTGCTGTACTTGCTGAGAACTCTCAATGTTACTTATTCTATCAGTGGCTTAAGCTGGAAAAACAGTGCATGATTTGTTTTTTTCCTGTGTGGTTCTTAGCTATAGAGCTAGTCTACTGGTTAGAGGCTATGGTTGCTGTGTGCAGTGCTTTAGTGTTGTACTGTCTCGCTAGAGTACACATTCATGTTCTGTGTATGGGAGTGGCATGAGGGGAAAGGCAGAGGGGGCAGAGACACACACACAGGGAGGAAAAAGATGTGATGGATAACTTGAGAATTTGCTTTATTCCTTCTATTATTACCACTTGCTGTATCTTCTCTCTGTGATTCAGGTGACTCTGAATCAGGTGAGTTCTGTGATTCAGGTGACTCTCAGGTGTTGGGGGATCTCTCTATGCCAACTTCTGTGCCAAGTAGAGAGATAAAGAGAATGCATGGAAAGACTATGATTGCCTTAGTGAAGTACTTTCATATGAATGTTAGGGTGTATGAGAGTGACTGATTTTATTGTTGTACTTACTAGTCCCTGTTGTTTCCACAAAGAAAGATGCCAGCATTGACATTAACATCAGGGAGGCCATAATTCGTTCACTCCTACTGCTTTCTTTCCTTCCTTGATTTCTTCCAATGCTTCAGCATTCACTCAACATTAACTGTTTGCCTACTCTCTGCCAAGCTCCACTCCTGGCAGTGGGATACAGAAATAAAGACAGAGAGACAAAAATCCATGTCTGTGTTCCCATAGAAGAAAAACAATTTTAATATGTACCATGGGGGAAACGAAAAAAAAAAAAAAAGAGAGAGTGGAAATAAGGAGCACATCATGAGAGGAGAGGGAGGAGTCAGGGAAAGCCCAATTGGAAGGTGATAGCTGAAGGCCATGACAGAAGGAACCTTGTAAATATCTGAGGAAAGAGCATGTGAGGGAAAACAACCAGGCAACTGCAAGGATCCTGGGGTGACTGAAGGATCAGCACGATGTGAGAGTGCCTGGAGAGAGCACTCAGCGGGGAGAGAATTGGAGACGTGATTTGGATAAACAATGGGGTCTGCGGGGGAGGGAGATCATGTAGGGCTTTGCTGACTTTTTAAGAAGTTTGGCTTTTACTCTAAGAAAGAGGAAATACTAACAGAGGGTTTAGGTAGAGGAACGATTGGTCTGATTTGTCTTCCAAGGGATGCTCTGCTGAGTGCAGAATATCAAGAAGAAGGGAGGTAGGCAAGAAGAGCAGTGAGGAGACTATCACAGCAACAGATGTGAGATGCTGGCGGCCAGGACCAGAGTGGGAGCAGTGGAGACGTGTGAGATATCAGATTCCTAATATGTTTCGAGGGAGGAGGCAACAGGTTTTGGTGATGTAGACTGTGAGAAAAAGATAGGACTCTAGGATTATTGGCCTAAGTTAATGAAAGGTTGTCATTGCATTTACTGAGATAGGGAAAACTGCAGAAAGAGCAGGTTTGGGAGCGGAAGATCAGCAATTCCAGGTCAGACTTTGTTTGCTTGAGAGAGAATGGAAAGACAGTGATTTGGAGACTACAGGTGTAGACTTTTTGCTGAGACAAAGTGCATGAACCTGGTGGTATACCT